>NC_000003.12:128705574-128857089 GCF_000001405.40 Homo sapiens
CTGGTTCAGGACTATGGAGTGATATGATAAGCATTAAATTTCTAAATGTAGGATGTTTTTTGTGATTGTGAGATTCAGGCCCATGTTTTTCTTGGATTCCTAAAGCAGGTGCTAGACTCAGTCATAAACAGACTCTCACTATATAAAGTAATTAATGACTTAGGAGGTCATATGTATTTTTCACACTGTCTCAACTGCTCTTTTGGCAAAGTGGCCTGTTCCCAGCTTTAAAGGAGCTCCAGCCAGGCGTGGTGGCTTATGCCTGTACTCCTAGCACTTTGGGAGGTCAAGGCAGGAGCATTGTGTGAGCCCAGGAGTTCAAGACCAGCCTAGGCAACATAGTGAGACCCCCATCTCTAAAAAAAAAAAAAAATTAGGCTGGGTGCGGTGGCTCACGTCTGTAATCCCAGCACTTTGGGAGGCCAAGGTGGGTGGATCACCTGAGGTAAGGAGTTCAAGACCAGCCTGGCCAACATGGTAAAACCCCATCTCTACTAAAAACACAAAAATTAGCCAGGCGTGGTGGCACATGTCTGTAATCCCAGCTACTCAGGCGGCTGAGGCAGGAGAATCGCCTGAGCCTGGGAGCCAGAAGTTGCAGTGAGCCAAGATCACGCCATTGCATTCCAGCCTGGGTGACAGAGCAAGACTCCCTCTCAAAAAGAAAAAAAATTAGCTGGGCATGGTGGCATGTATACCTGTAATTCCATCTACCTGGGAGCCTGAGGCGGGAGGAGCCCCTGAGGCCAGGTGTTCAAAGATCCAGTGAGCTATGATCTCACCACTCTACTCCAGCCTGGGTGAGATGGTGATACCCTATCTCTAAAAATAATAAAGGAGGTTCAACAAGACTCAGGAAGCTCATTATGTAGAGATGTCCATCACTGTGAATCACTGGAAATAACCTAAGAGTAAGTCAACATGGAAGAGGTTAAAGAACTAATGACTTATTGATTCAAAGGAAAATTACAGCCGTTAAAATAATGACAATTATGTGTCAATGTATAAGAAGCTTTGAAGTAATACTAAATCGAGAAGGATTATAAAATGGTACTCAGATTGGGAATCCAACCATGTCAAGAAACACATACACAAAAAGAAGAAAATGTCCTTATCACCTAATATGTGGTAGGCCTTCTGCTGAGTCTCAGGGATACACAATGAATAAAATGTGGTCTCGATGTGGCTCTCTGTTGTGGTGCCTGCCCCCAGAACTCTTACCAGGAACCTCCCCATGACAAAGCAAGTTAAATGTTTGATAGCTGCCTGTTGGTTGTGAGTGGGGATGAACGTTCTAGAGCTTTTGCCAATTTCTGTGATGTAAACATTTTTGCCAGGCTGATTTCAAGGTACCGATGGAATTTCACTAACACAGAATTGGAAAGAGATATTCATAAGCGGCTCTTGAGACTCAGTGCAAACTAGCTTCAGCAGCACATTTGGGAGGTGGTTGCTAAATAAGCAATAATTTATTTATAGGATGGAATCCTAATCAGCCATGAAAATATCATACTGTAGAATAATTAGTCATATTTGAAGAAGTTCATCTAGTTATAATGCCATTCAAAAAAAAAGGCCGGGCACGGTGGCTCACGCCTGTCATCTCAGCACTTTGGGAGGCCAAGGCGGATGGATCACAAGGTGAGGAGATCGAGACAATCCTGGCTAACAGAGTGAAGCCCCGTCTCTACTAAAAAAATACAAAAAGTTAGCTGGGCATCGTGGCGGGCACCTGTAGTCCCAGCTACTTGGGAGGCTAAGGCAGGAGAATGGTGTGAACCCGGGAGGCGGAGCTTGCAGTGAGCCGAGATTGCGCCACTGCACTGCAGCCTGGGCGACAGAGCAAGACTCCATCTCAAAAAAAAAAAAAAAAAAAAGAGGGCTGGGTGTGGTGGCTCACGCCTGTAATCTCAGCACTTTGGGAGGCCAAGGAGGGTGGATCATGAGGTCAGGCGTTCAAGACCATCCTGGCCTCAGGTGATCTGCCCACCTCGGTCTCCCAAAGTGTTGGGATTACAGGCGTGAGCCACCACGCCTGGCTGAATTATATCTTAATAATAAAAAAAAGTAGGTTACAAAGCAATCTGTTTTGTACATGTGGTAGGTCAGCAGCCTGTAAGATGACCCCCAGTGATTCTCACCTTCTGATAGTCACATTCTTGTGTAAACCTCTCCCCTCTGGTGTGGGCCAGATTTGATTCCTCACTTCTAACAAACAGAATACAGCAGAAATGATAGAATGTTACTTCCGATATTAAGCTGTGACACGATGGCTCCCATGATGGAGACTCTGGGTCCCTCCTTCTCTCTGTTACTCGCATCCTCCCCCCAGGGAAGCTGGTTGCCGTGTCATGTGCATGAGCAGCCCTGTGGAGAGGTCCATGTGGCAAGGAACTGATGTCTCCAGACACCAACCAGCAGGCAGGGGATGAACTGCTGAGCTTCAAAGTGGATCCCTCCCCAGTCAGGGCTGGAGATGACCTCAGATTGCCAAGGCAATCTGTCAGAGGAAGAAAAAGTTGGAGGGCTTACACCACCAGATATTAGGACCCGTTATGTAAATATAATACACATATTATGTAAATATAGTACAGTGTGGTATTGGCATAAGGACAGGCAAACAGATCAATAGGACAGGACAGAGTCTAGAAATAGACACATTAACATACTGTCATCTGATTTATGACAAAGGTGACAGTAGTTGGGAAAGGAGTGTTTTTGTTTGTTTTTTTTTTTTTAGACAAGGTCTCACTCTTGCCCAGACTGAAGTGCAGTGGTGCAATCATAGCTCACTGTAGCCTCAAACTCCTGGGCTCAAGCAATCCTCTCACCATAGCCTCCTGAGTAGCTGGGATCACAGGCACGTGGCAGCATGGTCAGCTAATTTTTTATTTTTATTTTGTTAGACAAAGTCTTGCTCTGTCACCCAGGCTGGAGTAGAGTGGCATGATCACAGCTTACTGCACCCTCAACCTCCTGGGATCAAGTGATCCTTCTGCCTCAGTCTACTGAGTAGCTGGGACCACAGGCACATGCCACCACATCCAGCTAATTTTTGTACTTCTTGTAGGGATGAGGTTTCACCAGGTTGCCCAGGCTGGTTTCAAACTCCTGGGCTCAAGCCATCTGCCCAGCTTGGCCTCCCAAAATGCTGGGATTATGGGTCTGAGCCACCATGCCTGGCCAGAAGTCTTCTTCATAGATGATATGGGGTCACTTCTGCTTCTCCGGCTATGCTCACTGGCCATCAGCGCCCTCTGTGTGCCCAGAGTCTCACATAGGGCACCTGCACGTTATCCACAGAACACTGTGGGGCCTTCCTCCCAGCTCAGGGCCATAAGGAGAGAGACCTGCCTCGGGTTTGATGTCTTCTTGCCCCCTCAGCTCCTCTCCAGGGCTCCCCATTCCCAGGCCAGTCCTTCTGGGTGAGAAGCCAGCAAGATGCATGTGATCTTCGGCCTCTGGGTTGGCCCCAGTGGTGCATACCCACTGGTGTTCATGTCCATCTGTAGTCTCCTCTCACACTGAATCAAAGCTGGCCTGGGTGACAGGCAGCATTCTGTCAGAGGGACAGTGCATGACTTCTGAGGCTTGGTCATATGAGACCCTGCGGTGCTACCTTGGGCCTTTGGCTTGTTCTCTCGGGGTGAGGTCAGCTGCCCTGCCTTGAGGACACTCAAGCAACCCTGTGGAGAGAAGCCCAGTTGTCAGCACCAGTTTGCCAGCCACTCCAGCGAACCACCTTGGAAGCAGGCCCTCCAGCCCCAGACAAGGCTTCAGATGGCTCTAGGCCCCAGCCCTTGAGATTTTCAGCTGAGGCCCCAAGCATGATGTAGTAGAGATAAGTCATTCACACCGTGCCCTGTCGGAACCCCTAGCCCACAGAAATCACAACATAATAAATGACTATTGCTTTAAGGTACTAAGTTTTGAGGTGTTTTGTGTTGCAGCAATAGATAACTGATACAATGGCTCAAGCCCAGTGCTACACTCTGGGAAAGTCCTCCTTGTTCTCTTCCCTGAAGCTTGAGGCTTTGCAGGCAGCTCCCCTGCAGTCTCCTCCTGCCCCGCCACACCCCGCCCCCGCGCCCCCCCCTCCATCCCTCCTAGTACCCCCCCACCTCCCTCTGGCTACCTCACTCTTCCTTCCCTCTCCAGGGAGGCAGAGGGCAGGATCGACCCATCTGCTGCCTCATTGGAGGTTCCACTGGGAAATGAGATGCTCATCTTCCCTGCTGATAGCACTGCCTCCGAGGCTTTCAGAATAAGTTTTCTAGAATCCCCTCACTTTGGCAATAGTGAGGAAGGAAAGAAAACCCTAGTATTCCCCAGTGGGCAGTGACTAGCATGGATTACCTCTGTCACTTCTTCTCACACTTGTGCTCATATTGGGGGTGGGGAGGGATGAGTGATTGTAGTAGGGCCGGTTCTGCCACCTCTTTGTACATACCTGGGGCATGTTCTTGCCCCAATCTCAACAGAGTCTTTGAATCATCCTTAAGCGTGAGGTCCACAGCACTATTTGTCATAAATTTTGGATCTCCATCGTCAATACCAGGAAAACAGGAAAAGTCCCTCTTAAACATTCGAGTCCAGGCTTTCACCACCTGGCATGACCTGATCTTTCTGCTTGGGTTTCTTTGCTGTTCCTGCTTCCTTCACTCTAACTCTGTCCCTTTGGCAATAAATATATCAGCACTTTCTGGGACGATTTATGACATGCTCTCTTTTCACCAAACCTCCGCACATGGTGGTCCCTTTGCTGGCAACAACCTTCCTCTTCCTTTGCCCAACAGATTCTTACCCTTCATGAGCCACCTCAGCACTGTCTCCTCAGGAAAGCCCTGCTTGACTACTCTAACTTTCTGGCTATATTAAGTGCCTCTACTGGGTCATCCTAGCTCCTTTGCTTCCTTTACCACACTGTATTTGCAGCAGAGACACTGTATTTGTGGCCGAGGCAGAAATACAATTACTTTTTTTTTTTTTTTGAGATGGAGTCTTGCTCTGTCACTCAGGCTGGAGTGCAGTGGAGTGATCTCTGCTCACTGCAACCTCCACCTCCCGGGTTCAAGTGATTCTTCTGGCCTCAGCCTCCTGAGTAGCTGGGATTACAGGTGCCTGCCACCACGCATAGCTAATTTTTTCTATTTTTAGTAGAGATGGGGTTTCACCACATTGGCCAGGCTGGTCTCCAACTCCTGACCTCAAGTGATCCGCCCACCTGGGCCTCCCAAAGTTCAGGGATTACAGGCGTGAGCCACCGCAACTGGCCCAGAAATACAGTTTCTCAAGCACAGTTTATTCTCCCTCTTCTACAGCATGTGGATGTTGCTGGAAAGCAGCTGTCCAGCTGGCACCTCATTTCCCACTGCCTCTTACATCTAGGTGGTCATACTACTGGCTCTTGCCAAAGGAATGTGAGCAGAACCCACATGTGTCACTTCCACACCAAGGCCTTTAAGAAGCGGGTGTGTCGTCTACACACTGTCAATGTCCTGCTACCAGCTGTATTTGGGCAATGACAAGATTCTTAGGAATGGTGCTGCCACAAGGTGGACAGAGCCCAGCACCCAGGATCAATGTATAGAGGAAAGCCACCTGCTTCAATTATGTCTGAGACGTAATTCCTTTGAAGGCCTATTTGTTATAGCAGCTAGGGTTACCTTAATTAATACAGTATTGTAGTCTTTACTGGTGTCTCTCTGCTAGATAGTCTTTTTGTTTGTTTGTTTGTTTTTGTTTTTGAGGCAAGGTCTGGCTCTATCGCCTAGGCTGGAGTGGAGAAGTGGCGTGTTCTTGACTCACTGCTACCTCTGCCTCCCAGGCTCAAGCCATCCTCCCACCTCAGCCTCCTGAGCAGCTGGAATTACAGGTGTGTGCCACCACGCCTGGCTAACTTTTGTATTTTTTGTAAAAAGGGGTTTTACCATGTTGTGATCTGCCCACCCCGGCCTCCCAAAGTGCTGGAAATACAGGCATGAGCCACCGCGCCCGGTCTCTTGCTAGACTAGTCTTAAAGGAAAAGTAGGAGTTCTTTAGGTGAAAGAAAATGAACTTGGGGTGGGGGTGGGGGGAGGACAAAAGAGCAATAACTGTGTCAGTAACTCAGTAACTACTCACTGAGCACCTACTATGTTCCAGGCATTGGAGGGGCAGCAGCAAACCAGACAGACAAAGTCCTCCACTCTCATGGTGCTGAAATTCTAGGGGCAGAAACACTGAGCATGTAAATACATAAAGTACAGAGGAGCAGTTCTCAAAGTGGTGACATGGAGAAAACATACCAGTGTAACAGGTAATGGGATAAAGAATAACTGGGAAAAGGCACTGGACCAGATGATCCAGCAGGGCCTCCCTGGAGTGTCACTTGAGCTGAGACCCCAATGGTAAGAAGAATCCAGCCATGCAACAATCTTTGCATTAGGGAAGGGGAAGGAGGAGACTTTCCTAGACAGAGGAACTAGAGGCACAAAGGCCCCAAGGTGGGAAGGAGCTTGGTGCTCTTGAGACAGGAAGAAGGCCAGCATGGTGGGAATGGGTTGACTGGGGAGAGACTGAGGTTAGATGGGGCCAGGGTGTGTCCCCACCTGTCATTCCTGCTTTATTTTTCCCCATCACACTTCTTATTGCCTATTATGCTATGTATTTCTCTTACGTACATGCTTTATTTTCTGTCTCTGCCACTAGACTGTAAGTCCCATGAAGGCAGGGATTTCTGTCTGTGTTTTGTTCACTGCTGTCTCTTGGTAGACAGTGCCTAGAACAGTGCCTGCCACACAGTCTGCCCAAGCTGTGTTTGTTGACTGAATAAATAAATGAAAGATGGATAAAGGCCAGATAGTGCAGGGCCTTGAAGGCCATGTTAGGGTCATTCTAGGCAAAGGGAATTGCAGGCGCACTCAGGGAGAGGCAAGCGTTCGTTAGGTAAAGACAGGCCGAGCCTCCCACAACCCTGTCAGCATGGAGGGCTGCAGTCCACGCTGTAGAAAGAGTGGCAGGGTAAAGGCAGTGCCCCAGTCCTCTTGGTCTCCCTGGTGCTTGTTAATCTGACTGGCAAGGTCTGAAGCAGGCAGGTGCTGTGGTCTGGTGAAGCGGAGCCAGGGGAGACATCATCCCACTGAGAGAACACAGAAGGAACCCACAGCCACAGCAGGGCAAGCAGCCCCATTTCCTAGCAGCCTCATGAGCTCAGTGTGGCAGGAGGCAGTGCTGGGGCTCAAGCCCACTAGAGTGGCCCATTGGTCCTGGTGTTACCGCCTGTCCTTCCTCAGGCCATTTGATCTTCCCATCTGTGTCACTCCATTTGCATCACTATAAAGGAATACCTGAGTCTGGGTAATTGGCTCACGGTTCTGCAGGCTGTACAGGAAGCGTGGTGCCAGCATCTGCTTCTGCTGAGGGCCTCAGGATGCTCCCAATTGTTGCAGAAGGCCAGGGGGGAGCAGGAATGTCACATGGTGAGATTGAGAGCAAGAGAGAGGAAGCGGGGAGGTGCCACATTCTTTTAAACAACCAGATCTCATGTGAACTTGGAGCGATAACTCATTCATTACAAGGAGGGCACCAAACCATTCATGAAGGATCCACCTCCATGACCCAAACACCCCAATCAGGCCCCACCTCCAATGCTGCAGATTACATTTCAACATGAGATTTGAAGGGAACAAATATCCAAACAATAGCACCATCCATCCAAGGCTGTCAATGGGGCAGAAATAGTCATCCTTATCCCACAGGAGGGGGAACTGAGGCTACATTTTTGTTTTAAGGATTCTTCAGATGCAAGTGACAGAAATCCTACCTGATTTGGCTTGCCTTTCTTTGTTTGCCCTCTAGAAAAAGAGCCAGAGAACAAGCTTAACGTGCTATAATCTTATGGGATTCAATCCCAGGGCAGCAAGAGTAAAGGAAAGAGAGGAGTAAAGAACAGAGTGCAGGAGGAAAAGCAAAGACAAGGTCGCGTGTCACCAAACTGGCCACAGAGTCTCAGCAAACATGGTCGTTGGGTTTGGGCTGCCAGATCAAAAAAAGGATGCCTGATTAAATTTGAATTTCAGATGAACGCAAATAATGTTTTAACATAAGTATTTGTATTTGCAAATTCTGATAACCTAGTCCCATGCGACATCTCCAGGGAGGTCATGCTCAACAGTCTACTGAGAAGAGGTAAAGTAGAGATTTTACCCCTCAGTTCCTTTCTGAATCCTGTCTTGCTGGTCAGAGTTTACTCATAGGAAAGTTCACTCCCCACATTTCTGGGTTATATTACCTGGCTCATCTGGGCAGTCACTGGGGAAGCCAAAGCCTCTGAGTCCACTCTGAGGCAGCCCCTGGGTGCGGCTGTGACTTTCCATTAAGCAAGTGGTAAAGGCCTAAAAGTGGGGTTGGGGACCAAGAGGGACAGGGAGGGGAGCAGATGGCTTCTGGCATGGCTAAATACAGGTGCCCAAAATTGCATCACTTAGACAAGTCCCTCTTCATTTCCTCGTTTTCCTCTATTTTGAGATAGGGTCTCATCGCCCCCTCCCCCCCCACTTTTTTTTTTGAGATGGAGTTTCGCTCTTGTCACCCAGGTTGGAGTGCAATGGCATGATCTCGGCTCACTGCAACTTCTGCCTCCCAGGTTCAAACGATTCTCCTGCCTCAGCCTCCTGAATAGCTGGGATTAGAGGCATGCACCCCGATGCCTGGCTAATTTTGTATTTTTAGTAGAGACGGGGTTTCTCCATGTTGGTCAGGCTGGTCTCGAACTCCTGACCTCAGGTGATCCACCTGCCTCGGCCTCCCAAAGTGCTGGGATTACAGGCATGAGCCACTGCACCCAGCCTGTTTTCCTCTTATTTTGACTTGGCTTCTGCTATCGACTGAATGTTGGTGCCCCTTCCCAAAATTCCTATGTTGGAAACTTTTTTTTTTTTTTCTAGAAACATTTGAACAATAGTTTGGAAAAGTTTGCCCAATAACCCAGCAGCCTCTAGGTTTTTAATGGTGAAGAATGTTACTTGTGCAAGTCAGAATCTGATACCAATGAAATGGTGACAGCTTTGCCAATAAACAAGAATATACTTACTCTTCCATGGCTAGGAAGGGCAACTGCCACAGCTGACAGGTTCCAAAGACACATGGAGACTATGTTGGAACTTAACCATCAAAATGATGGTATTAAGGGGTGTGCCCTTTGGGAGGTGATTAGGGCTCTACCCTCATGAAAGAGACCAGTGGCCTTACAAAAGGGCTTGAGGGAACCTGATCATCCCTCCCACTCCCTCTGCCATGGGAAGACTCAGACAGAATGCACCATTTTGGAAGCAAAGAGCAAGCCCTCACCAGACACTGAATCTTCCAGTGCTTTGATCTTGGACTTCTCAGGCACCAGAACTCTGAGTAATAAATTTCTATTGTTTATAAATGACCCTGTCTAAGGTATTTTGTTATAGCAGCAGGCACGGCCAAAGACAGCTTCACTCTCAGGTTCTCAGGTTCTCAGGTTCTCTCAAGGTGACAGGAAGTCCCCAACAATTCTAGACATGCTTTAATCTTTCTTCATGCTCCTTCCATCCTAAAACAGATCCATTGAGTGTTATTGGCCCTGAGTGCCCTGGATGTGGTCAAGTGCCCTCTTCCAAAAGAGTCACTGTGGGCAGAGGGGTGCAATGCAGCCTGTGTGCAGGAAGGCTCTAAAAAGCAGCTGTGGCTAGTGTGGCACAAGGAAGAGGAAGGATGGGAGATTACGTGCTAGTGTGATGTGCGGTTGTCTTCCTGTGGGTGTTCCCCCAGCCACATACATAGAACTGGGAGCTCCTGGTGCACTGGTTCATCTCTGTGTCCCTGTGGTCATACTCTGGAAGCTAAAAATTGATTGCTTTTGAATAAATGAATGGACAAACCTTTACTTCCTTTATAGCACCTAATAGAAAAGTGCCTCAAGCTACCACATGAGATTTATCTCACCTGGCAACTGACATGTAATGTCAGTCATTCTCTTGTAATGTAAAGGAGAACTTTATTTATTTGTTTTTAAGTTGTTTTTTTAAGAGATGGAGTCTTGCTATGTTGCCCAGGATGGACTCAAACTCCTGGGCTCAAGTGATCCTCCTGCCTCAGCCTCTGGAGTAGCTGGGACTACAGGTATGTGCCACTGTGTCTGGCTGAAGGAGTGCTTTATAAATCATTTTCACATCTGATTCTCACAAGAACTCAGAGGTAGGGTTTATCATCACCATTTTATTATTTATTTATTTATTTATATATTTTTAAGAAGGAATCTCGCTCTGTCACCCAGGCTGGAGTGCAGTGGTGTGACCTTGGCTCAGTGCAACCTCTGCCTCTCAGGTTCAAGTGATTAGTCTGCCTCAGCCTCCCAAGTAGCTGGGACTACAGGCGGGTGCCACACCTGGCTAATTTTTTTTTTTTTTTTTGTATTTTTAGTAGAGATGGGATTTTGCCATGTTGGCCAGGCTGGTCTTGAACTCCTGACCTCAGGTGATCTGCCCACCTTGGCCCTCCAAAGTGCTGGGATTACAGGCGTGAGCCATTGCACCTGCCCCATTTTATTATTTTATTATTTTATTTTTGAGACAGAGCCTTGCTATGTTGCCCAGGCTGGGTGCAGTGGCATGATCTGGGCTCACTGCAACCTCCACCTCATGGGTTCAAGTGATTCTCATGCTTCAGCCTTCCAAGTAGCTGGGATTACAGGCCTGTGCCATCACACCTGGCTAATTTTTGGTGTTTTTTTTTTTTTTTAGACGGAGTTTCACTTTGTTGCCCAGGCTGGAGTGCACAATCTCAGCTCACTGCAACCTCCACCTCCAGGGTTCAATTGATTCTTATGCCTCAGCCTCCCGAGTAGCTGGGACTACAGGCGTGCATCATGCCAGGCTAACTTTTGTATTTTTAGTAGAGACGGGGTTTCGCCATGTTGGCCAGGCTTGTCTCAAACTCCTGACCTCAGGTAATCTGCCCACCTTGGCCTCCCAAAGTGCTGGAATTACAGGAGTAAGCCATCACGCCTGGCCCATTTTATTATTTTATTTTATTTTATTTTTTTATTTTTGAGACACAGTCTTGCTCTGTTGCCCAGGCCGGGTGTAGTGGTGTGATCGCGGCTCACTGCAACCTCTGCCTCCCAGGTTCAAGAGATTCTTGTGCCTCAGCCTTCTGAGTAGCTGGGATTACAGGCCTGTGCCATCATACCTGGCTAATTTTTGGTTTTTTTTTTTTTTTAGACGGATTCTCACTTTGTTGTCCAGGCTGGAGTGCAGTGGCGCAATCTCGGCTCACTGCAACCTCTGCCTCCCGGGTTCAATTGATTCTCCTGGCTCAGCCTCCCAAGTAGCTGGGACTACAGGTGTGCACCATCACACCTGGCTAACTTTTCTATTTTTAGTAGAGACAGGGTTTCGCCATGTTGGCCTGGCTGGTCTCGAACTCCTGACCTAGTGATCCACCCACCTTGGCCTCCCAAAGTGCTCAGATTACAGGTGTGAGCCACCATGCCTGGCCTTATTTTTTGTATTTTTAGTAGAGACTGTATTCACCATGTTGGCCAGGCTGATCTCGAACTTCTGACCTCAAGTGATCTGCCCGCCTTGGCCTCCCAAAGTGCTGGGAGTGAGCCACTGAGCCTGACCATATCACCACTATGGGAAGTGAGGATACTGGGGCCCAGAGAGCTCAAGAGAATTGCACTGACACAGGAGCTCAGACTGGGTGCTGGGGACCAGAAGTTACCAAGGATGAAAGACTATAGTGCGGCATGTTGGGACAGCCAGCTGGTGACTTCTGGATTAATAAAAACTGCCAAGAAGGAAACCTTGGATAAAATTGTCCACTTTAAAGCAGCAAAACCTGGCTAGACACAGTGGCTCACACCTGTAATCCCAGCAATTTGGGAGGCCAAGGTGGGAGGATCACTTGAGCCCAAGGATTAGAGACCGGCCTGGGCAACATAGTGAGACCTTATCTCTACAAGTATTTAAAAATTAGCTCGGTGTGGTGGCACGTGCCAGTAGTCCCAGCTACTTGGGAAGTTAAGGCAGGAGAATTGCTTGAAGACAGGAGTTTGAGTCCAGGCTGGGTCACACAGTGAGACCCTATCTCTACCAAAAAAACAAAAAAAATTAACCAGGCACAGTGGTGCACCTGTGGTTCCAGGTACTCGGGAGGCTTAGACGGGAGGATTACTTGAGCCCAGGAGGTTGAGGCTGCGATGAGCTATGATCACAGTACTGCACTCCAACCTGGGTGACAGAGTAAGCCTCTGTCCCAAAAATAAATAAATAAATACATACAAAGTAATAAGGTAGCAAAATCCAGAGAACTTTATAAATCATGCAAAGCTATGTCAGAATAATTCAATATTTTTCTCTGCTTTAAATTGCTCAACTATGTGTTAACATTTGTCAATGCCCAGTAGGGTGCTGGGGACATCAAAGTAGACCAGAGCAGGTCCTGGCCCTGAAAGACCCCCCCAGTTTCGATGATAAATAAACAGCCAGAGAGTCATGGGTTCACTGTGGGAAAAGAGGAGAAAAGGGCGGTGGCCAGAAAAGGCTCTGCTGTACAAACAACCTGTGAAGGAAGACACATCACACACACACACACGCACACACACACACACACACACACACACACACACAAACACACATACTCCCCACCCCCTGGCTTAAAATGTTCCACAGGGTTTCTCATCACACATGCTATAAATTTGCAAGGCCTTGCTATGACCTGTGAGACCCTATATGACCTAGGTTTGCACATTGCTCCCACCTCAACTGTTTCTACTCTCTCCTTCGCTCACTCTGCTCCAACCACGCTGGCTTCCTTGTTCCTTGAGCAGGACACCTTTTTCTGCACAAAGCTTCTACCCTTGCTATTCCTTCCACCTGTAACATTTTCTGCTCAGGTATTCTCAAAAGGCTGGCTCCATGTCAGCAGGTCTCTGCTCAAATGTTACCTCCAGTGGGGTGCAATGACACATGCCTGTTGTCCCAGCTACTTGGAGGCTGAGACAGGAGGACGGAGAGCTACAGGCCAGGAGTTTGAGGCAGCAGTGCACTGTAATTGTGCCTGTGAATAGCACTGCACTCCAGTCCGGGGACCATAGTAAGATTCTGTCTCCAGAAAAAAGGCACCTCCTCAGAGAGGACTTTCTGACCACCTATGTCTAAGTCACCTCTCCTCACTTCCACCTCCATCACTGTTCTGTAACACTGTTTTATTGTCTGCATCTCATTGATCACATTATGGATTTTTTTTAAAAAATTGAAACATTTGATAGTTAATGAAATATCATGGTTAAAACTTAAACATATATAAACTGATGTCCACAGAAAAACCCAGCTCCCTTTCCTGTCCCATCATCAGGAATAGTGTAGTGGTTTTGTGCTGTGTCAATTAAGCTACATTTACCATTTACCAGAATTCTCTTCTCTAACAGCAGTGATTTTTTTTTGTTTTTTTTTTTTTTGAGACAGAGTCTCTCTCTGTCACCCACGCTGAAGTGTAGTGGTGCAATCTCGGCTCACTGCAACCTCCACTTCCTGGTTTCAAGCGATTCTCCTATCTCAGCCTACCAAGTAGCTGGGATTACAGGAGCCTACCACCACGTCTGGCTAATTTTTTGTATTTTTAGTAGAGACAGGGTTTCACCGTGTTAGCCAGGATGGTCTCTATCTCCTGACTTCGTGATCTGCCCGCCTCAGCCTCCCAAAGTGTTGGGATTACAGGCGTGAGCCACCGCGCCTGGCAATTTTTTGTATTTTTTAATAGAGACGGGGTTTCGCCATGTTGGCCAGGCTGGTCTTGAACTCCTGGCCTCAGGTGATCCACCTGCCTTAGCCTCCCAAAGTGCTGGGATTACAGGCATGAGCCACCGTGCCTGGCCAATTTGTTGTTGTTGTTGTTGTTTTGAGATGGAGTCTTTCTCTGTCGCCCAGGCTGGAGTGCAGTGGCATGATCTTGGCTCACTGCAATCTCTGCCTCCTGGGTTCAAGTGATTCCCCTGCCTCAGCCTCCCAAGTAGCTTGGACTACAGGTGCGTGCCACCACACCTGGCTAATTTTTTGTATTTTTAGTAGAGACGGGGTTTCACCATGTTAGCCAGGATGGTCTCGATCTCCTGACCTCGTGATCTGCCTGCCTCGGCCTCCCAAAGTGCTGGGATTACAGGCGTGAGCCACTGTGCCTGGCCAATATTTTTTGTACTCTGAAGGTCATGCAGCATGCCAAGCACTGGGGCAGCTTATTCATTGTGTAACTAGACTTGTTGGCAAAGGGTGCCAACCCAGAAGTGCATCTCCTACAGCCCCCACCAGATCTCCTCCTTTGGCTTCTCTGAATCCTGGCCTAAGTGTGTGTGTAGCTCTGGATGAAAGGTGTTGGGTTCTGCTGCTGCTCACCCATTCATGGCACTGAACTTAGAAGTGATGAGAGACAGATATGGCTCCCAGTTGGTCCTCATGGGTGGCTCTTTTTATCCTCCTTGGCCCCAGTGTGTCATTATTCTTATCCACATCCAGCTTTTATTCCTGAATGCTGGTCTAACTGACCTGTAGTGACTGACGTTGGGCTCAACACCAGACACAGAAGGAACAGCCTGTGTAGACTTTCTACCAACTCCCACAAATCGATAAGGTCTAGCCCCTTCCATTAATTCCTCATTCTAATCACTCACAGTGCTTCTACTTCTCTGATTTTAATTGATATACCAGGTAACCACTTTTATTAGTTGCCGAAGGATGTTCTTATTCTTTACCTTTTAAAGCATATGATATATACTCTTCTGTTGCGGGAAGTCAGGGACCCCAGTGGGACTGGCTGAAACCATGGCAGAAGAACGTGGATTGTGAAGATTTCATGGACATTTATTAGTTCCCCAAATTAATACTTTTATAATTTCTTATGCCTGTCTTTACTGCAGTCTCTAAACATAAACTGTGAAGATTTCATGGACACTTATCACTTCCCCAATCAATACCCTTGTGATTTCCTATGCCTGTCTTTACTTTAATCTCTTAATCCTGTCATCTCCTAAACCAAGGAGAATGCATGTTGCCTCAGGACCCTGCGATAATTGCGTTAAGTGCACAAATTATAGAGCATGTGTGTTTGAACAATATGAAATCTGGGCTCCTTGAAAAAAGAGCAGGATAAAAGCAATGTTCAGGGAATAAGAGAGATAACCTTAAACTCTGACTGCTGGTGAGCCAGGCAGAACAGAGCCATATTTCTCTTCTTTCAAAAGCAAATGGGAGAAATATCGCTGAATTCTTTCTCCCAGCAAGGAACATCCCTGAGAAAGAGAATGTGCCCCTGAGGGTGGGTCTCTAAAATGGCCCCCTTGGGTGTGGCCGTCTTCTGTCGTCGAAACTGTAGGGATGAAATAATCCCCAGTCTCCCATAGCGCTCCCAGGCTTATTAGGATGAGGAAATTCCTGCCTGATAAATTTTGGTCAGACCGATTGCTCTCAAACGCTGTCTCCTGATAAGATGTTATCAATGACAATGGTGCCTAAAACTTCATTAGCAATTTTAATTTTGCCCCCGGTCCTGTGGTCCTGTGATCTTGCCCTGCCTCCATCTGCTTTGTGATACTTACTACCTTGTGAAGTACATGATATCTGTGACCCACACCTTATTCGTACATTCCCTCCCCTTTTGAAAGTCCCTAATAAAAAATTGCTGGTTTTGCGGCTTGTGGGGCATCACGGAACCTACCAACATGTGATGTCTCCCCCGGACGCCCAGCTTTAACATTTCTCTCTTTTGTACTCTGTCCCTTTATTTCTCAACCTGGCCGATGCTTAGGGAAAATAGAAAAAAACCTATGTGACTATCGGGGGCAGGTTCCCCGATACTCTTCTGCATCTGGTTTTATCATGTAACAATATCTCTTGGAGATCCTTCCATACCAATATATAGAGAATTATCTTATTGCTTTTTTATAGTTGCACAGTATTTCATTGTCAAGATGTACCATACCTTTTTTACCAGTTCCCTATTGATAGAAATTTGAATGAAAATTGTGCAGGGACGTGTGTGTGTGTGTACGTTTGTACATTGTGTACCACACTAAGTAGTAAGGCTCTTGATATCAATGGCCTTGTTTTCCTTGTGTCCTTAGAACCTAACAAAAAGCCTAGCATATAGGAGATTCTCAGTAAATCGTTTGTTGAAAGAAGGATGTACTTGTCCACTTTCTCCATGGGCAATCCTGTTAACACCCGTTACTTTCATTTCCATCTACTCTTAAATTTCTATTTTCAGCTGAGGCTACCCTGAAGGACCCAGAAACCCAACTCCCATCTCTGCCTCAGCCCAAAATGTCTAACTGCCTCCTCCCCATCTCCACTTGGATGTTTCACGGAAGTCCTCTGTCTCAGCATTTCCAGAACTGAACTTCTCACTCCTAATCTCCTCCAACATACCTGCTGTGCTTTGGATATGATGTGTTCGTGCCCCCAAAATCTTATATTGAAATGTGATCCCAGGCCAGGTGCAATGGCTCACACCTGTAATCCCAGCACTTTAGGAGGCTGAGGAGAGCAGATTACTTGAACTCAGGAGTTTGAGCCCAGCCTGTCCAACACGGCGAACCCCGTCTCTACTAAAAATTCAAAAATTAGCTGGGCATGGTGGCAGGTGCCTGTAATCCCAGTCACTCGGGAGGCTGAGGCACAATAATCACTTGAACCTCATAGATGGAGGTTGCAGTGAGCCAAGATTGCTCCACTGCACTCCAGCCTGGGCAACAAAGCGAGACTCTGCCCCCTCCAAAAAAAAAAAAAGAAATGTGATCCAGGCAGGCTGAGAGTGGTGGCTCTCACGCCTGTAATCCCAGCACTTTGGGAGGCTGAGGGGGGCAGATCACTTGAGGCCAGAAGTTCAATATGGGCCTGGCCAACTTGGTGAAACTCCATCTCTACTAAAAATACAAAAATTATTTGGGCATGGTGGTGCACGCCTGTACTTCCAGCTGCTCGGGTGGCTGAGGCACGAGAATTGCTTGAACCCAGTGGGTGGAGGCTGCAATGAGCTGATAGCACCTCTGCACTCCAGCCTAGGCGACAGAGCAAAACTCTGTCTCAAAAAAAAAAAAAAAAAAAAGAAATGTGATTCCTCAGTGTGGAGATTTGGGAGGTGGGGCCTAGTTGGGGGTATTTGAGTTGTGGGGGGGTTCCCTCATGAATAGTTTGGTGCCATTCTAGGTAGTGAGTGAGTGAGTGAGTTCTGGCTCTGGTGAGGCTGGATGAGTTCTCACAGGAATTGATTAGTTCCCAAGAGAGTAGGTTGTGCTAAAGCCAAGATGTCCCTTGGATTTGGGCTGGGATTTCAGGCACGTGCCACAGCGCCCGGCTAATTTTTGTATTTTTAGTAGAGACGGGGTTTCACCATGTTGGTCAGGCTGGTAAAGACCAAAACACTTCTAATATTAAATATTAAAGTAAATGTGAACTATATATATATTTAAGACAGATTAATGAAAATGAGCAAGATAATTATTTATCCAATTATTCCATCTCAGGGTCACAGGTGGCCAGTCTATCCTGGCAGCTCAGGACAGGAACCAACCCTGCACAGGATGCCAGCCCATTGTGTACACGTGTGCGCACGTGCACACACACACACACACACACACACAGAGACTGGGACAATTCAGACAAGCCAATTCACCTAAAGGGCACATCTTTGGGATGTGGGAGGAAACCAGAGGAACCAAGGAAAACTCAGACATGGGGAAAGAGTGTAAACTACACAGACAGGGGCCCCAGCCAGGAATCAATTTTTTCTCATCAATGTTATAATTGAAATGATGTTACTGGAGGCCCTGCTCTACTTAACTCCCCCAAGAACCCTAAAAGTCTCAATCCCAATACATCACTGGCTCATAATGGATCTTGCCATGTAAATTGGGTCCAGATGTGGATGAGGTTCCTCAGATATAATTCCTTAAGAACGGCTCTGAGCACTGTTCCTCTGAAGGCCTGTGAGCTAGAGATGTTATCTGCTGTCCACGGACCCAGCATACAGAGTTGGCAAGAAGAAGATAAGCATAGTAGACACTTTTGTTCAAAAGGGGAAAAAACAGGAGCGACAGCTGCCACTGGGTCATAGTAATTCTGAAATCAGCGAGGCACGTGATGCCAGTTCCTTGATTCGAGTCCCCTCCTGCTCCTTGGGAATGATTATCTGCAGCTCCTGGCTCTATCCTCTTGGCTCATGGGTTTCTTCTAAGTTGTCCTTTCTTTCCCATAGGAAATAGTCCATGTTTGCATCTGAATAGCCTTCTCAGAAGGCTTCTTAGAAGGCTGGGGCCCACATGTCCCATTTTATTTTTGTGCTCTGCCTTTTCTGGTATAATTGTCCCTTGCTATTTGTGGTGGATTGGTTCTAGGACTCAGATGCTCAAATCCTGCAGTCAGCCCTGCCAAACCTGGGGATGAGGACTACTGCATTCCCAGTTGCTACTTTACCTTCAAACCTAGCATTTTGATTGGCTGCCTAACGGGGTGGAATTATCATAACTCTTGGCCTTTGAAACTATTTTCAGTTTTCATTCCCCTGAATACTCTGCAAATTGTACACATTGAGCACCTACTGTACCCCAACACTGTTTCAAGAATCAGGGATATCGCAGTGAATGAGACAGACAAAAATAGCTGCCTTGTGGAGCTGCCATTCTAGTGGGGAAGACAGACAATATGCAAATAAGTGAGTAGTATAAGAGGAAAAACTTTGGGAGGCTGAGTCGGGAGGATTACTTGACACCATTACTTGACACCAGGAGTTCAAGACTGCCTGGGTAACATAGTGAAAACTTCTCTTTACAAAAAAAAAAAAAAAATTAGCCAGCCATAGTGGTGCACGCCTGTGGTCTCAGCTACTCAGGAGGCTGAGACAGGAGGATCACTTGAGCCCAGAAGTTCAAGGCTGCAGTAAGCCCTGATTATGCCACTGCACTCCAGCATGGGCAACAGAGCAAGAACTTTTCTCAAAAAAAAAAAAAAGAAAAAGAAAATAAAAAAGAAAAAACAGAGGAGAAAAGCAGTAGGGAGATGTCAATTTTTGTGTTTGTATTGTGGTGACAGGGAGAGGGACTTCAGTTTTAAATAGGGAAGGCTATTTCACTGAAAAGGTTACTTTAAAGTCAAGACCAGAGGAAAGTGAGGGAGTGGCCAAGCAGATACCTGGAGGAAGAGCTTTCCAGGTAGAGAGAAGTACAACTGCAGAGGTCTGATGTAGATGTGTGCCTTCTCTTTTCTTTTTTGTTTATCTTTTGGAAGAGACAGTCTTGTTATGTTGCCCAAGCTGGTCTTGAACTCCTGGGCACATGCAAAGTGAAAGCAGAGAAAGAGTGGACTTACCCCAGAGGCGGATGGTTCTGCAGTGTGCAAGGCCATTTCAGAATACACATAGAGAAAACAGGAGAATAGGTGGTGAGGGTTTTGGGGAAAGAGCCAATTTTGGTTGAAAAAGTAGGGGAAACCCCAGACATTGTACCATCTCAGGGTTGAGACTGCTTGCCTAGCTTTTGAGATTTTTTTTTTCCCCAGACCCCTCAACTCCTGAGATCTTATCGGGAAGCTGCTGATCACCAGTTTTAGGTGTTTTTATCTATTGGGAGACTGCCTTTCTCTGGTCTGGCTGCAACCAATTATTATTTTAGAGAGACAGCTTAACCTGACAACCACGTCATGGTTGCCTCACATTGCTGGTCGGGGAGTGGCCCCTCTCCTGCCCTGCTCAGGTCTGACTACTTACTGTAACAATTGCAAGGTTTTTGGATGGAACAATTGAAAGAATGGAGCTTGCATGAACCAAAATAAGAAAAGACTATGAGAGGGCATTGTTGAAGATGGAGGCAAAAATTCTGAGTGGATCCTGATGTGTTCGGATGGGGCTGGTGCTTGGGAGGCTGCTCTGTGCTTACAAGAAGAGTTCTACCCGGTCCATCTTTATCACATCTTCTCTAATACTAAGTTCAGAGAGGCTTTAGCTCATTTTCCATTTTCTTGGGCTGTCTCCTCTGCCAGACAAAGTGCCTATTTCTCCTGTCTCTATCACCGAGCCACACAATTGCTGTAGTCATTTGCAGTCTACTAGAACGATAACACATATTGGCATCAGACAGATCTTGGTTCAAAACCTCGCTCCACCAGTTTCTGTGTTGAGCTAGACCAAGTGACATGATATACTGAGTCTCAGTTCCTTATTTGTAAAATGGTGATAATAATTTTTGGTTAAGTAATTAAAGTAAGGATAAATGATGCCTTTCGAAGAAGGACACAACTGGAATGGCCAGTTTACCCCTTGTCCCCTCTTCGGTGGCATTATTTATTCTGGAGTAAGGAGGGATGGCTGAGGGAATCTGTCTGTGGGTCCAACATGGCGCCGTCCTGCTCCTTGTATGAGCCTCAAAGATGGGGACAACCATTTGGGGGCAGACATGTTTGTAGCACGAGATCCAGGCTCAGTCCCGAGGCAGCCGGAACGTGACGCAAGGTTGAGGCGGGGCTCCTCCCCCGCACCCTGGCGTCGAGCGTCTCGTGACAGGTACTTCCGCTCGGGGCGGCGGCGGTGGCGGAAGTGGGAGCGGGCCTGGAGTCTTGGCCATAAAGCCTGAGGCGGCGGCAGCGGCGGAGTTGGCGGCTTGGAGAGCTCGGGAGAGTTCCCTGGAACCAGAACTTGGACCTTCTCGCTTCTGTCCTCCGTTTAGTCTCCTCCTCGGCGGGAGCCCTCGCGACGCGCCCGGCCCGGAGCCCCCAGCGCAGCGGCCGCGGTAAGCAGCGGGCCCAGCCCGGCCGGCGGCCTGGCCCCATCCCCCCCCTCAGCCCCTCGGTCGCCAGGGCCTCGCGTCCTCCCTGTCCTCCTGGGCAGGCTCCAGTCCCAGCCCTGGCCACGCGGGCACACCCGGCATCGCTCAGGCCCCCGGAGCAGGCCAAGACCCCACCCGGCTTGGAGAGGTCGGAGGTCGTCGGGCGTGACCTCTGGCCGGGTTGCCCGCCCCGGCCACCCGTCTCGGACGCTCTGTTTACTGTTGGCCTGGATCTCAGAGACCCGAGAGGGTTCCTTGACTTGGGCGGCCCTGCGCCGCGGCAGGACGCGCTGGCCAGTGGAGTTCCTTAGCGCGGCGAGCAGGAGGGTGTCAGAGCCCACGCCGCCCGCCGCCGTGCCCACCCGGCGGGCATGGGTCACAGGCGCTGGGGGCCGAGCCGCGTTCCCATCCGGTTCTTCAGTTGAACAGCCTGACCCTGTTAGTGGGAGTTCCCTGACGGCAACTGAGTCAAGGCAGTGAGTCAGGTCACGTGCGCTGGGCTCGCCTCGACACTTGTGTACATTGAGGCGCCTCTGGCGCTGGGAGACAGGGAGCTTTTTGTCCTAGGCATGTTACGGTAAATCCTGAGAGAAGTTTTTCAACTTAATCGAGGAAAGATGGTAGTTGGATGTAGAGTTGTGTTTCCATTCCGACCGTGTTTGGGGCCTCTTTCTGCATTCATTTTAGGCTTGATACCTAATGGGGTCATAAGGGGAATATTGAGAATATTGACAGCAAATATTTGAGCGTTTATTGTATGCTAGGCAGCGTGGCAAGACCTTTTAACAGATCATTATGTTTAGTTCTTTGAACAACCCTCTGAAGTACCACTGTTGTGCCCACTTAACACAGTGGGAAGTTGAACAGAGAGGCTAAGCCATTTGGCCAAGGTCACACAGCTAATAAGTTACGAAGCAGAGATGCAAGCCCAGGCAGTCAGACTCCAGAGCACTGTATTAAATTTCTAGGTTGTACTGCTTTCACGTACCCCTGAAGCTTGCTGGTTTATCTTTTGCTACCTGGTATCTGTACCTCAGTGCCTCCCACCACCTCCTTTCTTTCTATTGATGTCATTTGAAAGTCTTTCTGGTAGCATCAGTTCTCCCTTAAAGCCATAAGAAATGCCGTTTGCGACTTATCACACATATTGTGGTGTAGTGTCACCGAATTAGGAGCTCTTGAATACCGGCAGGGTACTTAACTGAGGTTTGAAAAATTTTGCAGGTAGGCCTGGCAAACCTGCCTAGTGAACCTTTCTTACAACCTTAGTTGATGGCTGTCCAGCCGGCTGGTTCTTCCCTATTCAAAATACTGCATCTTTGGTTTCCTAAAGAACGGACTCTTGTCTCTTTCTTGTGACTTAAGCAGCTGATGAAGCACATGATTTCTCATCCATGGATGAATAAAGTCTCCTCTTAGTGTGTTTCTCTCTTCAAACTTGGGAAGGTTTGTTCAGATTTGAGTTTAAGGACTGGAAGGTGAGTTAGGAGTACTTCTTCTGAAGAAGGGACCGGCTAAGTTAAAGCTTAGCGTTCACAATCCTGTTGTATTCATATTTGTCTTTTTTTTTTTTAACTTTGCTACCTAGCCTAAAATATTTAAGTGAGTAATAAGTACTGTGGCTTTATATAATGTTTGAGTTTAGAGTAATGATAGGCACCTTTTTATTCATTCATTAAGTATTTTGAGTATCCATTGAGTATCAGCAATGTATCAGGCATTGTGGGACATTGACTCAGGGAGATAGGCGTGGTTCCTGTCCTCAAGGAATTTTTAAAAGGTGAATGATCTTGGCCAGAAATTCTGTTGTGGAATAATTTGGCGGTAGAACTTGAGGCTTTTTGGAAAGAGTTATTTCTCATCTCTGCTGGTGAATCAGTAGTAACCCAAAGGATGGTGTTCTTCTGGCTAACTTTAAGGCTTTGTTAATTTTAACAACAGCATTTGTATGGTTTGCTCTTCAGAGAGTGTAGAAGATAATATTACAGTTTCTAATTAATCACATCTTTTAAAGAGTAACCTTCAACACTCAACTTGTTTCTCCTTTTGCTCTAGTGGCATTTATTTTATTTTATTTATATTTTGAGACGGAGTTTCCCTCTTGTTGCCCAGGCTAGAGTGCAATAGCGCGATGTCGGCTCACTGCAACCTCTGCCTCCCGGGTTCAAGCCATTCTCCTGCCTCAGCCTCCCGAGTGGCTGGAATTACAGGCATGCGCCACCATGCCCAGCTAATCTTGTATTTTTAGTAGAGACAGGTTTTCTCCATGTTGGTCAGGCTGGTCTCGAACTGCCTACCTCAGGTGATCCGCCTGTCTCGGCCTCCGAAAAGTGCTGGGATTACAGGCATGAGCCACTGCGCCCGGCCGACTCTGGTAGCATTTTTTTGTTCACTCAAGAGGTAGTCCATGTCACTACTGTAATTACCTTGCACTGCCATGTCTTTGAGCAAAGGTACATTTGGCATGCTGGATTTTTTTCTTCAGCTGGCAAGAAAGTTTAATGTAGCACTGATAGTGTACTGGCCATAGTTTCAGTACCATTCTACATAGAAAAGCTGTGTTACCCTATCTCCCACAACTTTCTAGATTCCCTTCTTTAAGGGAAGATTTGGATTTTACATTTGTGGTAGAACTGCATAAGTAAACAGAGGGTGGAATGTAGAAGATAGTCTAAAAATAGTTTTATTAGTATATCCTTCTAGGTAGTTAGCAACCACTTGGGGCAATTTTTTTTAAAATTTTTTTTTAGTGCCAACTGTGTCTAAGCTCACCAACCCTGTAATCAGAGAACAACTCTTTATAGTAAAGTGTGGCTTTGAATCAGTTTTCTGACCCCACTGCCAAGTGAAGCCAAAAAATTTTGGTTATTTGATTAGCTTTTAATATGTCTTCAGCTGGGCACGGTGGCTCACGCCTGTAATCCCAGCACTTTGGGAGGCCGAGGCAGGTGGATCATGAGGTCAGGAGATCGAGACCATCCTGGCTAACACAGTGAAACCCCATCTCTACTAAAAATACAAAAAATTAGCCGGGCGTGGTGGCGGGCGCCTGTAGTCCCAGCTACTCGTGAGGCTGAGGCAGGAGAATGGCGTGAACCCAGGAGGCAGGGCTTGCAGTGAGCAGAGATCATGCCGCTGCACTCCAGCCTGGGCGACAGAGCGAGACTTCTTCTCAAAAAAAAAAAAAAAAAAAGTCTTCAAAGGGATCTTCACTAATAACGTTTTTGCTCTTACTTTGGCATTAGACTTTGTAAACAAAGATGTAGCAAACACAGACCACGCAAATATGACAGTTGTCTTATGCACATTCCTCTCTGGCATTTGACACAAATATTTTAGTTTTTCCTATGATAAAGTATTTATCTCCCCATTCATTTAATTCAACAAATACAGCTGAGATAGATTTGACCAGATGTTGGACTTGGAGCTGTAGGCAGGCTTTTCCTGGGGAGGTAAGGATTAGAAGTCCTCCTGAATAAGGCTAAACAGAGGTTCCCCTTGGCATTAAATGTCTTCTTCTGAAGGCGACTGAAACTCGAGAAATGAACTCCCCGCCTCCCCCCTTATTTTTTGGCTATTGGCTTGCTGTTGATGATTCTTACCTCTCATGTAAGGAAGGCTACCATTGTATTCTCAGGCATCCATTCCTTTGTGTTACCACATGCTTATCTGTTAATATTATCTAATAGTTCTCTATGCTTCTCTGTCTGCAGTTTGCTGCAGAAACATTTTTGCAATATGCTGATCTTTTCAGTTATTTGCTCTTAAATCTTCTATTCTGTTTTTCCCCACACTCCATATGGCATTAAAGACAGAAAAATAGTTTGTGTTTTAAAACTTTTTTTTTTTTTTTAGACGGAATCTTGCTTTGTAGCCCAGGCTGGAGTGCAGTGGTGCCATCTCAGCTCACTGCAAGCTCCACCTTCCAGATTCATGCCATTCTCCTGCCTCAGCCTCCCGAGTAGCTGGGACTACAGGCACCCACCACCACGCCCGGCTAATTTTTGTATTTTTAGTAGAGACGGGGTTTCACCGTGTTAGCCAGATTGGTCTTGATCTCCTGACCTCGTGATCCACCCGCCTCGGCCTCCCAAAGTGCTGGAATTACAGGCGTGAGCCACCATGCCCAGCCTAAAACTTATTTTTAAAACATTTCTTAATGGTGGTGGTCACTGCGATTTGTGAATCAGAGGTAAAAGTGATGTGGCGAGTGAAATCAAAACAAGTTTTTTAGCAGTGTCTGTTACCAGTTTCAATTTTAGTATCCCAGGCTGTGATTACAAAAACATATTTAAGAATAGCTACTTGCAAAATATCTCCTTGTGGGAGGAAGAAAGCTTGGGAGTTGGTTCCAATGCTGACCTACAGCATTGGCCTTGTTCATTTGCTTGAAGATGCAGTACTTAACTCATGGGGCCTGGAGTCTCTGTTTTGGTGATGGCATCACTGCTGAGAAATTTAAGTTTGCCTGATTCTGTTGTCCACTTCTGGTGTCCTGGGACTGTCTACAGTTGGGACCAAGCAAATCCAAGGGAGCCTATTTAAGGGGAGCCTGGGACAAGGGCAGTTTAGGAATTCTCCAGCCTTGCTTGTCTCTTAGTTGGTCCTTCTTGTGTGGCTGCTGCCAGATAAAGGAAAGGAAGTTCTCTCTTCTCCCTCAGCCTTTCCTTTCCAGCTTTGCTTCATACTGCTGGGCATTAACCATCTCAGATCAGGAGTCCTTTAAAAGTTACTTAGTGAAGTAAATAGTTACATCATTGATTTCCAATATTGGTATGTAAGTGTAATAAAAAGTTGGTTTCCATTGAATAAGCTTTGTAGTTTGAGTTATTTGAGAGTGCATAATTACAAAGCTGCTATGAATTAACCTTAAATAACCAAGCATAGACTTTATGAAAAATAGTGTCCCTTATATGTGGTATTCAGTCAGCCTACCAACAGTTCTTCTGTTCACTTACAGATATGAGGATCCCTGAGATAACTGCGGGTCATTTAAAACCCACTCTTAAATCCTCTGACCTGCACCATGTTAATGGTTGTTAAAAAAGCGATAACATTTTGTAGAAACCTTCCTACACATTTGCCTTTAAATGCTTTTTAATGTTTCTGTGGTATTTGTAGTTTACATGTGATTTCATTTGGTGCTCACAACTGTTGTGTGTATCTGCCTGAAATAGCTGAGGCTGTATGCTCAGGTGGCTCAGCTGGAATGTCAGTCTAGGTCTGCTAACTCAGTTCAGTGCTCTTTCTGATGTACCATCCTGCCTTTCCATTATATGCTAGTGCCCTAAAGACCACGACATTTCACCCCTTGTAAAAGTGTATCTTTCGGCCGGGGGCGATGGCTCACACCTGTAATCCCAGCACTTTGGGAGGCCGAGGAGGGTGGATCACAGGGTCAAGAGATAGAGACCATCCTGGCCAACGTGGTGAAACCCCGTCTATACTAAAAATATAAAAATTAGCTGGGCATAGTGGCATGCACTGTAGTCCCAGCTATTCAGGAGGCTGAGGTAGTAGAATCGCTTGAACTGGGGAGGCGGAGCTTGCAGTGAGCCGGGATCGTGCCATTGCACTCCAGCCTGGCGACAGAGCAAGATTCCATCTCAAAAAAAAAAAAAAGTGTCTCTTTCTTCCACTACCTTTTTTTTTTTTCTCTCTCTGAGACAGAGTCAAGCTCTGTCGCCAGGCTGGAGTGCAGTAGCATGATCTCGGCTCACTGCAACCTCCGCCTCTCGGGTTCAAGCAATTCTCCTGCCTCAGCCTCCTGAGTAGCTGGGGCTACAGGTGCACGTCACCATGCCCAGCTAATTTTTGTATTTTTAGTATAGATGGGGTTTCACCATGTTGGCCAGGATGGTCTCAATCCCTTGACCCTGTGATCCGCCCGCCTTGGCCTCCCAAGGTGCTGGGATTACAGGCGTGAACCACCACGCCTGGCCCACTACCTTTTATTTAAAATGATACGTCTTTTTTGCTGATTATTAAACTATTCAGTTAAAAAAAAAAAGCTAGGAAAATTCAGAAATATAAAGAAGGAAAATTTGTGATTCACTACCCCGAGGAAGACCAAAGTGTTAACTGGTTATTTTCTTCCTTTGAATGTATACTTTCATACCTTCCTTTAATGAGATTGAACTCTTGGCCAGGCATGGTGGTCAGTACTTTGGGAGGAGTAATCCCAGCACTTTGGGAGGGTAAGGCAGGAGGATTGCTTGAGCCCAGGAGTTCAAGACCACCTTCAGCAACAAAGTAAGACTCCATCTCTACAAAGAAAAGAAAAAATTAGGTGGGTGTGGTGGTACACTTGTGGTTCCAGATGGTGGGAGGCTGAGACGGGAGGATCACTTGATTCCAGGAGTTTAAGGCTGCAGTGGTTTGTGTTCGTGGCACTGCACTCCAGCCTGGGTGGCAGAGCAAGACCCTGTCTCAAGAAAAAAGAAATTGAACTCTCCCCAAAAATGATGTGAGAATTTAACTGTGGAGGAGACCAGATACTCTTGGGTGATGTGACCTGTGATACTTCTCCTAGTAGACACTGAATGATGAGAAGCTGGGGATCATAGGAATAGCTGTATTTTTCAAATGTTTGTTGGTAACGAGTGAGGAACCTGATGCATCCAGCTCCAGAGTAAGGTTTATTTGCCATGGTAACACTGGATAAGTACATTGTTGCCTGTATTTCCAAGTAATTTATCATTTCTGTATTTTAGTAAACATACATATATACAGAAAAGTGCACAAATAAGTGGACGGCTTAGAGAATTTTTATAAACCCAGAGGCCCTCTTAGTCTCCTTTAAGTCATTATCATCGATGCCCTGATGCTTGCGTAGTGAGTCTTCTGATTTCTAGAACTGTAGACTAATTTTGCCTGATTTGGATTTTGTGTAAATGGAATCATACACTGTGTATTCTTGCGTATCTGGTTTCTTTGACTCAGTGTTGTTTGTGAGACTTTGTGTTGTTGTGTACAGTTGTAACTGGAGTTTCCATTGCTCAGTAGTATTATGTGATATATCATAATGTATTTAAGTAAAAAGACTGAGTTTTAGGGTATGTGTCTGTATTCATTTGCTAGGGCTGCCGTAACAAGTATCACAGATAGAGTGGCTTAAACAGAAATTTATTTTCTCAATTCTGAAGGTTAGAAATCTGAGGTCAAGCTGTCGGGAGGATTAGTTTCTTCTGAAGCCTCTCCTTGGTTTGTAAATGACTGTCTTCTCTTCCCTGTATCTTCACAGGATCTTTCCTCTGTATTGGCTGTGTCCTATTCTCCTTTTCTTTTAGGACACCAGTCGTATTGGATTGAGGCCCACCCTTATGACCTCACTTAACCTCAGTTACTTCTTTAAAGGCCCTGTCTGCAAATAAGTCACATTCTGATATATTGGGGATTAGAATTTCAACTTAAAAATTTTAGGTGGACACAGTTCACTTCATAAGAGTATCTATTCTGCTCTAGTAGATATGGCCAGTTTTCAAAAGTTGTACCAGCGTATTCTTCCACCAGCAGTATATAAGAAGTCCAAATATTCCACATCCTTGCTAGCACTTGTAACTTTTTCTCTCTAATTTTAGTTCCCTCTGGTAGAAAGCCATTTCTTTATGGCACCATGGTACAGCTTGTTTACTCACCAGTGTAGGGGAACCTCAAGGGACTGGGGAAGGTTATCCTGGAGTAAAACGTGTCAGTTTGAGACTACCTCTTGTAAATGCTACTTAAATCCATTGGGGTTAAAAGCAGAGGTTCGGCCAGGCACAGTGGCTCATGCCTGTAATCCCAGCACTTTGGGAGACCGAGGTGGGCGGATCACTTGAGGCCAGGAGTTCAAGACCAGCCTGGCCAACATAGCGAAACCCTGTGTCTACTGAAAATACAAAAAATTAGCCAGGCGTGGTGGTGGGCACTTGTAATTCCAGCTACTTGGGAGGCTGAGACATGACAATCGCTCGAACCTGGGAGGTGGATGTTGCATGAGAATCGCTTGAACCTGGGAGGTGGAGCTGAGATTTCACCACTGCACTCTAGCCTGGGCGACAGAATGAGACCCTACCTCAAAAAAAAAAAAAAAAAAAAAAAGGAAAGAAAAGAAAGAAAGGAAAACACCGCTTCAGTCCAGTGAATGAGCAGTTAGTCTTCCATAGTTGCCCATAGCTTACTTTTATAGTCTGGACTCCATTCCTGGTGGTGGAATTGGCCTGTGAAAGAGTAATCTGTGGGGTGTAGATCTAACCATAGTAGATGGTGCTTTCATTCCAACTCTCTTTTTTGGTCAGACACTTGAGCCCTTAGAATATCACATTCTATCGTACATATGCTAGAAATAGGTCTGTTTTGCATATTCTGACTGACCCTTCAGATATTAGTGGGCCTTTCACCACCAGCCTTTTGGCTGCGTGATCTTCAGCTTTGTGTATCCATTATAGACCTTAGTTTGATTGAAATAATATTACATGACTTTGCCTGTCTTCCAACTCTAAGCCACTTGAGGACAAGGATGAATCATTATTCTAGAATGGATCTTGAAATATTACTAAGCTTTTGTTTAAATTTTTTCCAGTTCTAGCTTTTCAGAGTAAGTTACCGTTTATAGCATGTAAGTTATGCTTCTGGGTCAGTGGTTAATATATGTGGGTTTCCTGAATGATGAACTATGTGTTCTGTGTTCATTTAACAGGTTTTTCTTCTCTACTATAAGAAAACACTGTTGGCCCCTGTGGAGAATTATTCAGGAATAATTGTAAATACAGGGCAGATGAGAGTTACTTAGTTTAGAGTTGTTCAATGCCTGGGGTGGTGAGGGGCATGTTGAGTGGATTTTTAAATAAATTGGTAGGCAGGTGAGAGTTGGGAAACCATTATAGTTGGAAAGAATGGCATAAGTCAATGAATGGATGTAGGGATTGCAGTAGCTCTAATTTGGGAATGACTGTATGTATGGAAACCAGATCCTGGTAGGGAGGGCAGGCACTGCAATCCCTTGTTAGAGGATTTAAGTTCAACCAAGTGGCACTTCACTCTGTAATGCTGGAATAGACACAGCATAATCCTGTCACTTGAACCTCACAATTAAGTCAGATAGTACCCCAGTTATGGGTGAGGAATGGCTTTGATGTTGTAATTTGTCTAAAGAAACCATACATTAAGAGCTTAGTGGGCTAGGATTGAAATACTACAAGAGTTGTGCTTAAACTTTCAGAGAGTTGCTTCTTCAGAAGTGGCTTTAATGAAAAGTTAAACATGGGAGCTGGTTAGGGGAGGTGGGATAGAGGAAGAGAGCAGTTAGTTTGGTTTTCCTCTTTAGCCAGCCCATTGTGGGCTCCTCTTAGCAATTTATGGGCAGTCTGTTTTACTGGTTAAATGCCTGAGATAATCTAGGGTTGATATCAAACTATCGAAGATAGTTCTTATGTAACTGTTTTACTAGCTATCTGCTTTCCAGTTTGCCTTACCAAAAAGAAAAAAAGGCAGGAATCATCCTGGTCTCTCGTTAGAGACTAAACTTTTGGCTTAGTACCTGGGTTCAGAAAGCTTGATGACAGTGGTGCATCGTATTGAAGAATCTATTGATCCAGGAGTGAAGTCCTCTTCACAAGAATTGCCTTCCAAGACACTCTTCTTTGTGTAAGTTGCCTTTGCCTTTTCCCTCCCAGCAGGAATGCAGTACTCAGAGCAAAGTACATAAACAATGTCTTTACATTTCATAGAGGTTGTTACCTTGTTTAAACTTCACAATTTAAGCAGCATTTGATTTGTCTCTTTTTTTTTTTTTAGATGAGGAAATGGACTAAAAGGTCATGCTCAGTATCTTGGAGCCACTGTGTGTTAGTGGGACTGGGACTAGCATCCAGTATTCCAAGTTGACAGATAATTCTTTAATAATGGCAGAAGAATAATAGCATCTTCTGCGGAAGAACAGCCTTTGTACATTTTATCATTCAGTTTTATTTAAATGTTTTTAAAAGAGGGATTTCAGACTAGTCTGTTTCTTTTGAAACATAGATTTTCAGGTGGTGAATCTTCAAGCACTATCAGACAGAATAAGCTAGGTTATGCTGTAGTAACCAATAACCTCAAAGTGGTCAAAAAGAGCATGGGTTTTCTAGAGGCTCTGCATCATTCTTACTCCAACCAAAGGAGCAGCCGTGATAGGAGTATTGATGGCTGTCTTGGCAAAGGGAAAAAGAACTGTTGGAGGCAGTTAAATTCCAGCACGTACAGTTTAAATCCAGCACATACAGATAAATTTAAATACTGTTAAATAAAGTTATTTAACAGTATTTAAATTTAAAAAAATTTAAATACAGTTGAATACAGTTAAATTCCAGCACAGGAATGACACATTATTTCATGTCACTTCTGCTTAGGGTTCATTGGCCAAAATGAGTCACACCACACAAGGAATCAAGTGTGATCCTACATGTGTGGACTTGGAAGGCACGGAGTTGGAAATATTTGGGAAATAGCACTAGTATCATACTTGGCTTATAATATGTAATAGCTATTGGGGGAAATAGCTCTCATTTGCAGAATCTCTTTCTACAAATCAGCTGGTAATTTAAATGCTAAAAAGAGCTTAGTTATAGATACTGTGTTGCCCGTCTTTACTCACTAATCACCTTCCGATCCTAAGAAATTTATTTATTTATTATTTTTTGAGATGAAGTCTCCCTCTGTCACCCAGGCTGGAGTGCAGTGGCGCGATCTTGGCTCACTGCAAGCTCCACCTTCCGGGTTCACGCCCTTCTCCTGCCTCAGCTTCCCGAGTAGCTAGGACTACAGGCGCCCGCCACCACACACCTGGCTAATTTTTTGTATATTTAGTAGAGACGGGGTGTCACTGTGTTAGCCAGGATGGTCTCGATCTCCTGACCTTGTGATCCGCCTCCCTCAGCCTCCCAAAGTGCTGAGATTACAGGCGTGAGCCACCGCTCCCGGCCTTTTTTTTTTTTTTTTTTTTGAGATGGAGTCTCGCTCTGTCACCCAGGCTGGAGTACAGTGACAGTGCAACCCCAGCTCACTGCAGCCTCTGCCTCCCAGGCTCAAGCGATCCTCCCACCTCAGCCTCCCAAGTAGCTGGGACTACAGGTGTGCACCACCATGCCCCAGCTAATTTTTTATATTTTTGATAGAGATGGGATTTCACCATGTTGCCCAGGCTGGTCTCGAACTCCTGAGCTCCAGCAATCTGCTTGCCTCAGCCTCCCAAGGTGCTGGGATTACATGTGTGAGCCACCTATCTTTCTGTCTCTCTTTTTTTTTTTTTTGAGACAGGGTCTCACTCTGTCACTCAGGCTACAGTACAGTGGTGCCATCATGGCTCACCGCAGCCACGCCCTCCCCAGGCTTAGGTGATCCTCTCATCTCAACTTCCCCAGTAGCTGGGACTACAGGCACATGCCACCACATCTGGCTATTTTTTTGTAGTTTTTTTTTTTTTTTTTTTTTTTTTTTTTTTTAAGAGATAGAGTTTCACCGTGTTGCCTAGGCTTGTCTCAAACTCTAGGCCTCAAGTGATCCTCCTATTTTGGCCTCCCAAAGTGCTAGGATTACAGGAATGAATCACCATGCCCAGCTCTGCCCTGTCTTTAGAAACCCCACTCCCCTTTTTTTTAAGGATTTGTTCTTGTTTTTATTTTATATTTTAATGTTTTGAGACAAGGTCTCACTGTTGCCCAGGCTGGAGTATAGTGGCCTGAACACAGCTCACTGCAGCCTTGACCTCTTGAGCTCAAGTCATCCTCCTACCTCAGCCTCCTGAGTAGCTGGGCTTACAGTTGTGTGCCACTACGCCCAGTTAATTTTGTTTTTTTGATAGTGACAGGGTCTTGGCCATATTGCCCAGCTGGTCCCAAACTTCTGGGCTCAAGTAGCTCGCCCACCCTGGCTTCCCAAGGTGCTAGGATTACAGATGTGAGCCACTACTCGTCAAGAACCCTATGTTTTTCCATTATTCTTGTTTGAGGCTCTCCACAAATGGTCTCCAGCTTGCCTTCCTGGCTTTGTTTTTTTTGATAAAGACACATATTCCTCTGAGTTGCTTTATTCACCTTTTCCTTACCACACTTTGTTCCCTACTTCCTTTATCTTGATTCCTGTCAATTCCCCTTCATCTCTGTTTTCTAGCTCCAGTACTCTGTTGGCATCCTGCCTGACTCAGGTACCAGTCCACTTTTAAAGCTTTTCTTGACCACTTACGTCTATAGTGTTCTTTTTACTGAATCCCTGGGGCTTGCCACAGATTATCTTATAGTTGTGGATTTTGTATATGTATCTTTCCTACCTTAGGAGGGGGCCTTAAGGGTAAGTCCCAGACTGATTTACCTGTTTTTCCCCAAATGTTAACCATTTGAAAGAAAGAACTAAATGGATATTTCTCAAATGGCTTTTGATAGATACATGTACAATACATCTGTTGTCATACCTGGTTGGAAAAAAAAATGCCTGTAAATTCTTCACATTGTTTGAAATCAGTGTGTCAGAAGCTGTAGGATTGTAGAAGCTTTCTTAAGCAAGGCCATAGTATGGCTGTCAAATCTGTTACTAAGCTTTAGTCTCCATTTCTGAAAAACGAGAGTAATGTGTAATCCTTAAGATCCTTTCGTATTTTGACATTCTCTGACTCTTGGACATACTGCTGTGGCTTTTGCAACATCCTAACTGGTTAGTTGACACCATCAGAAACTTTAAGGACCCTGTTAGCCATTGAGTATATGGAGCTTTGCCCATTCGTTTCTGAGAGGCAAGAGGCACTGGTAGGCAGTTAGATTTTTCTTTAAAATGTGTACTCGTTTCTAAATTACAGAAGCAGTATAAAAGTCTTAAAGCGGGCCGGGAGTGGTGGCTCACGCCTGTAATCTCAGCAGTTTGGAAGGCTGAGGTGGGCGGATCACCTGAGGTCAGGAGTTCAAGACCACCAGCCTGACTAACATGGTGAAACCCCGTCTCCACCAAAAATACAAAAAGTAGCTGGGTGTGGTGGTGCGCTCCTGTAATCCCAGCTACTCAGGAGGGTAAGGCAGGAGAATTGCTTGAACCTGAGAGGCAGAGGTTGCAGTGAGCCAAGATCGCGCCACTGCACTCCAGCCTTGCCAACAGAGCAAGACTTCATCTCAAAAAAAAAAAAAAGTCTTAAAGTGAACAGTTTTTTTCTGTCATTCTGGATAATTTGATGGCTATAATTCAAAACGTTTATTTTTTATAAAATTTAAATGAGATCATAAAATACATACTCTTCTGCTATTAGCTTTTTAAAAATTTAACCATATAGTCAGCTTTTCTTATAAGTACATACTATTTTTAATGACTGTATAATATTGATCATAATTTAACAATCCTCTAAATGAACATTTCAGTTATTTCCAGCTCTTTAAGAAAAGTATTTAATAGGGCCGGGCGCAGTGGTTCACGCCTGTAATCCCAGCACTTTGGGAGGCCAAGGCGGGTGGATCACTTGAGGTCAGTTGAAGACCAGCGTGACCAACATGGTAAAACCCTGTCTCTACTAAAAATACAAAATTAGCCGGGCATGGTGGCACATGCCTGTAATCCCAGCTACTTGGGAGGCTGAGGCAGGAGAATTGCTTGAACCTGGTAGGCAGAGGTTGCAGTGAGCCGAGATTGTGCCATTGCACTCCAGCCTAGACAACAAGAGCGAAACTCCATCTCAAAAAAAACAAAAACAAAGAAAAGGGCTGGGCACGGTGGCTCCCGCCTGCAATCAATCCCATCACTTTGGGAGGCCGCCGAGATGGGTGGATCACGAGGTCAGGAGATCAAGACCATCCTGACCAACATGGTGAAATCCCGTCTCTACTAAAACAAATACAACAATTAGCTGGGTGTGGTGGCGTGCACTTGTAATCCCAGCTACTCTGGAGGCTGAGGCAGGAGAATCGCTTGAACCTGGGAGGCAGAGATGGCCGTGAGCCGAGATGGCGCCACTGCACTCCAGCCTGGCAACAGAGAAAGAAAAGTATTTAATATTTATATTTTCCTACTTATCTAATCATTTCCTTAAGATTTAGTGAGTATACATACTTAAAATTTGGTTTTCATTGCCATATAGCCTTCAGGAAGGTTGTATACTTTACATTTTGTAGTTTGAGAATTTCATTTATATACTTGTCAATTGTCAGTTTTCTTAATCCTTGCCAGTTTAATGAATGGGAAAAATTTAAATGATGTCTCATTGTTGAGGGCTTGTGTTTTGGCCAGGCCTGGTGGGTCACTCATGCCTGTAATGCCAGCATTTTAGGAGGCCAAGGTGGGAGGATCGGTTGAGCCCAGGAGTTCAAGACCAGCCTAGGCAACATGGTAAGACCCTGTCTTTACAAAAAGTTAAAAAAAAAAAAAATAGCTGGGTGTGGTGGCACATACTTGTAGTCACACCTACTTGGGAGATTCAGGGGAGGATCACTTGAGCCCAGGAGGTTGAGGCTACAGGAAGCCATGATAATTCCACTGTACTCCAGCCTAGGTGACAGAGGGAGATGTCTCAAAAAAAAAAAAAAAAAAAAAAAAAAGACTTGTGTTTCTTTGTTTGATAGATTAAACTAGAAAAATACTAACTACTTTTTTATATTCACTTAAATTTTGTAGAAATTTAAGTATATATAATTGTATAATAAATGTAGAAAAAATATTAACTACATTTTTTTATATATACTTAAAATTTTTTTTAACTTTCACTTTCTGCTTTTGTATATTTATAGTCTTTTGTGAATTGGCTTTTGTTCTCTAAAGCCCATGTGAGGTTCTTGTACCTCACCTCTCTCCCAGTTTATAAACTTTATATGGCAAGAATTTTGATCCTTTTCGTGTTGCAAACATTATTCCTGGCTTGTATCTCTTGGTCTTGTTTGGCTGATGGCATGTTTTTGTAACATAGAGACTTTTCTGTAGTCACATCTGTCAATTCATTTTCTGTGTTTCATATTATGCTTAGGCCTTTCCCACCCCCAGGACAATAAAAACAATGTTTTCTTCTAGTAATTCTAGCACTTAGCCAGGTATAATATGTCGGAATCTTTTCCCAAATGTATAGTTTTCCCAGTATTTTATTGTATTATCTTTTCTCTTTGACTAGAAATTTTTTTTATCACACAGTATATTTCCTACTTCCATGTCTTTTTTTATTTTTATTTTAAATAGATTTATTTACGAAATAGAGATGGTGTCTCACTATGTTGCCTAGGCTGGTCTCGAACTCCTGCACTCAAGCAATCCTCCCACCTCCACTTCCCAAAGTGCTGGGATTACAGGCATGAGCCACCATGCCTGGCTGTGTCTTTTGTTTTTTAACTCTTCTGTTTCATTCTTTGTCTGTGGGACAGTACTGCTGTCTTATTTGCGTCTGTTTTGTTTTATACGTATATACACAGATACATACACGCATACATATACATACACACAAACATTTTTTTTTTCCTTGGAGACAGGGCATTGCTCTGTCACCCAGGCTGGAGTATAGTAGTGCGATCATGACTCATCGACTCATTGCAGCCTTGGCCTCCCAGGCTCAGGCGATCCTCCCACCTCAGCCTTCTGAGTAGCTAGTATGTCCGGAATTGGTGGGTTCTTGGTCTCACTGACTTCAAGAATGAAGCCGCAGACCCTAGCGGTGAGTGTTACAGTTCTTAAAGATAGCGTGTCCAGAGTTTCTTCCTTCTGATGTTCGGACATGTTCAGAGTTTATTCCTTCTGGTGGGTTCGTGGTCTCGCTGGCTTCAGGAGTGAAGCTGCAGACCTCCACGGTGAGTGTTACAGCTCTTAAGGTGGCACGTCTGGAGTTGTTCGTTCCTCCCGTCTAGAGTTGTTTATTCCCCCCGGTGGGTTCGTGATCTCGCTGGCTTCAGGAGTGAAGCTGCAGACCTTCTCAGTGAGTGTTATAGCTCATAAAGGCAGTGCAGACCCAAAGAGTGAGCAGCAGCAAGATTTACTGCAAAGAGCGAAAGAACAAAGCTTCCACAGTGTGGAAGGGGACCCGAGCGGGTTGCCCATGCTGGCTCGGGCAGCCTGCTTTTATTCCCTTATCTGATCCCAGCCACATCCTGCTGATTGGCCCATTTTACAGAGAGCTGATTGGTCTGTTTTGACAGGATGCTGATTGGTGTGTTTATAATCCCTGATCTAGACACAGAGTGCTGATTGGTGTGTTTACAATCCTCTAGCTAGACGTAAAAGTTCTCCAAGTCCCCACTAGATTAGCTAGACACAGAGCACTGATTGGTGCATTTAGAAACCTTGAGCTAGACACAGAGTGCTGATTGGTGCGTTTACAAACCTTGAGCTAGATACAGAGTGCTGATTGGTGTATTTACAATCCTTTAGCTAGACATAAAGGTTCTCCAAGTCCCCACTAGATTAGCTAGACACAGAGTGCTGATTGGTGTATTTACAATCCTCTAGCTAGACATAAAAGTTCTTCAAGTCCCCACTCGACTCAGGAGCCCAGCTGGCTTCGCCTAGCGGATCCCGTGCCAGGGCCACGGGCGGAGCTGCCCAGCAGTCCCATGCTGCGCACCTGCACTCCTCAGCCCTTGGGCTGCCGATGGGACCAGGCGCTGCAGAGCAGGGGGCGGTGCCCGTCGGGGAGGCTCGGGCTTCACGGGAGCCCACCGCAGGAGGGCTCGGGCATGGCGGGCTGCAGGTCCAGAGCCCTGCCCCACGGGGAGGCAGCTGAGGCCTGGTGAGAATTCGAATGTGGCACAGGTGGGCTGGCGGTGCTGGGGGACCCGGTGCCCCCTCCACATCTGCTGGCCTGGGTGCTAAGCCCCTCACTGCCCCAGGCCGGTGGCGCCAGCCGGCCACTCCGAGTGTGGGGCCCTCCAAGCCCACACCCACCCGGAACTCCCGCTGGTCCGCGAGTGCCGCGCGCAGCCCCAGTTTCCCGCCCATGCCTCTCCCTCCACAACTCCCTGCAAGCAGAGGGAGCCGGCTCCAGCCTTGGCCAGCCCAGAGAGGGGCTCCCACAGTACAGCAGCAGGCTGAAGGGGTCCTCAAGCATGGCCAGAGCAGACGCCGAGGCCGAGGAGGTGCTGAGAGCGAGCAAGGGCCACCAGCATGTTGTCACCTCTCACTGGGACCACAGGTGTGTACCACCATGCCTGACTAATTTTTTTTGTAGAGATGGGGTCTCAGCTTGGACATTGGAATTGCTAGCCAAAGACATTAGAGCAACTGTCAGCAATATGCTCAGTGGACTAAAGGAACCACAGATGAAGAACTGAAGGAGAGCAGAAATACAGTCTCTGAACAAAATCAAGAAAGAGGCTGGGTGCAGTGGCTCATGCCTGTAACGCCAGCACTTTGGGAGGCCAAGATGGGAGGATTGCTTGAGCCTATACGTTCAATATCAGCCTATTCAACATGACAAAATAATTTCTCTCTCTCTTTTTTTTTTTTTTTCTGAGACAGTCTCGCTCTGTCTCCCAGGCTGGAGTGTAGTGGCATGATTTCGGCTCACTGCAACCTCCATCTCCTGGGTTCAAGCGATTCTCCTCCTCAGCCTCCCGAGTAGCTGGGTTTATAGGCGCCCACCACCACACCCAGCTAACTTGTGTATTTTTAGTAAAGACGGGGTTTCACCATGTTGGCCAGGCTGGTATTGAATTCCTGACCTCAGATGATCCACCTGCCTTGACCTCCCAAAGTGTTGGGATTACAGGTGTGAGCCACCGCACCTGGCCAAATTCTTGCTCTTAAAAAAAAAAAAAAATTGGCACATGCCTGTAGTCCAGCTACTTGGGAGGCTAGAGTGGGAGGATCACTTGAGCCCTGCGGTTGGAGGCTGCATTGAGTTATGGTCACATCACTGCACTCCACTGGGTGACAGAGTGAGACCCAGTCTCAAAAAGATAGAAACTATAAAAAGGAACTATACAGAAATTCTGGAGCATAAAAGTACAATAACTGAGATGAAAACTTTATTAGAGGGGTTCACCAATAGATTTGGGCAGACAGAAAGGCCCATACCTGGGTCAGCCCTCTTAGAGGGACTGATCCATTTGGGAGACATTTGAAATTTATTCTCTTAGATATTTTGAAATATGATACATTATTATTTGAAATATGATGCATTATTATCGACTACATTCCACTGTAATAAAAAGAAAACATCACAGTGGAAAGGCCACACTCCTTCATTATCCAGTTGGGAACCTCAGCAGCACAGCCAAGTGATCTGCTAAGCTGCTTTGGGGACCACACCTGTGCCACTTGTATAGCTCCCAGCACAGCCTGGTTCACAAGAATTCCTTATCCTATTGTGGACCTTTTGGCCCAATTAACACAGGCCCACAGGATTTAAAGTTGCCATTGGTCCTTGTGAAAAGCTAACCAGGTAATGTCAGTGTGAGGTCACATACAATGTGTGTGTTTCTGCCCTGCATTTGGCTCAGAGCCACTTGTAATAATTTTTTGCTGTTGAGGTTTCCTTGATACTTCTCTGAAGTCACTTTTTCTTTTTTTCTTTTTCTTTTTTTTTTTTTTTGAGACAGATTCTCGCTCTGTTGCCCAGGCTGGAGTTTAGTGGTGCGATCTCGGCTCACTGCAAGCTCTGCCTCCTGGGTTCACACCATTCTCCTGCCTCAGCATCCCGAGTAGCTGGGACTACAGGCATCCGCCACCACACCTGGCTAATTTTTTTGTATTTTTAGTAGAGACAGGGTTTCACTGTGTTAGCCAGGATGGTCTCAATCTCCTGACCTCATGATCCACCCGTCTCGGCCTCCCAAAGTGCTGGGATTATAGGCGTGAGCTGCCGCGCCCGGCTGAAGTCACTTTTTCATTAAATTTTTCTGGTTAACTTCAAGTACTGCGTGTCTACCTGTTGCCTAAACTAGGGTATGCACTGCCCCAATTCTGCAGGGAGGGTGCAAAACAGCAAAATTAGATGTGACCCATCTTTCTGGAGTTTCAGTTGTACTGTAAAATTTGGAAGAAACAGTAGTTTATTAAGAATCATCTTTTTTTTTGTTTTGGAGACAGAGTTTTGCTTTGTTGCCCAGGCTGGAGTGCAGTGGCATGATCTCAGCTCACTGCAGCCTCTGCCTCCCTGGTTCAAGCAGTTCTCCCACCGCAGCCTCCTGAGTAGCTGGGATTACAGGTGCGCGCACCACCATGCCCAACTAATTTTTGTATTTTTAGTAGAGACGGGGTTTCGCCATGTTGGCCAGGCTGGTCTCGAATTCCTGACCTCAAGTGATCCACATGCCTCAGCCTCCCAAAGTGCTGGGATTACCGGCCTGAGCCACCAGGCCCGGGTGAGCACCATCTTATTAAGAAAAGACACAGAAGAGCAGGGAAGGGGAGAAGTGTTCCAGGAAACACAGTCCAGGCTCTGACATTGCTCCAGGTGGGATGGAGGGACTCACCCCTTACTTTGAATAGGATGCTTTTGAAGGCCACAGGGGTGCCAGTTGTCCTCTTGACTTGAATCCCATGCAGAGACTTTGTTGGCAGTTTGCACACATCCATCCTCTGCTGGTTGAGTCCTCTGAGCTGAGTGTGCTGGTCACACAGCAATGTGGGCTTCTTGACCAGCGCCCCCTGGCACCTATTTAAGTCCATGCTTGGCTGACCTGCCATGCTGTATTGTCAGGATCCATGGAGCTCGGGATCTTGTTGCTTTCTATTCTAAATGCAAGGAGACATTTGAAATAGACTCGGATATTCTGAAATGTCCAAATATTTATTATTGACTGTAGTCACCCTGCTGTGCAGTAGATTAGAAAGTTATTCCTCCTGTCCGAAACATTGTACCCTTTGATAAACAACCCTCCATTATTTCTCTCTCCCACCACCCCAGCCTCTGTTCACCATCAGTCTACTCTCTACTTCTGTGGGTTCAACTGTTTATTTTTAGCTTTTAAATTTTTCTTTGATTTTTAGAGACAGAGTCTTGCTGTGTTACCCAGGCTAGAGTGCAGTGGCTCAATCATAGCTCACTGCAGCCTTGGACTCCTGGGTTCAAGTGATCCTTCTGCCTCAGCCTCTCAATGAGCTGGGACAATAGGCCTACACTGTCACACCTGTTTACTTTTATTTTTTGTAGAGATGCGGTCTCACTGTATTGACCGGGTTGGGGTTCAACATTTTTATTTATTTTTTTTATTTTTTTATTTTTTATTTTTTATTTTGTTTTTGGAGATGGAGTCTCGCTCTGTCTCCCAGGCTGGAGTGCAGTGGCGCAATCTTGGCTCACTGCAAGCTCCGCCTCCCAGGTTCATGCCATACTCCTGCCTCAGCCTCCCGAGTAGCTGGGACTACAGGCACATGCCACCACGCCCAGCTAATTTTTTGTATTTTTTAGTAGAGACGGGGTTTCACCATGTTAGCCAGGGTGGTCTCGATCTCTTAACCTCGTGATCCACCCGCCTTGGCCTCCCGAAGTGCTGGGATTACAGGTGTGAGCCACCCGGCCCGGCCGGGGTTCAACTTTTTAAGATTCAACACATTGGTGATATCACGTGGTAATTGTTTTTCTGAGGTGATAGATATATGTTAGTTAGCTTAACTTAATCATTCCATATTGTATACATATATCTAAACATCACATGGTACCCATAAATGTATACAATTATGATTTGGTAATTAAAAATCATATTAACTGAAACATAATAGGCTGGGTGCGGTGGTTCACATACCTGTAATCCCAGCACTTTGGGAGGCCGAAGGGCAAAGATCACTGAGGCCAGGAGTTTAATCAGCCTGAGCAACATAGCAATACTCTATCTCTACAAAAAAATAGGCTTGTTGGTGTATATCTGTAGCCCTAGCTACTTGTGAGGATCAGGCAAGAGTATTGCTTGAGCCCAGAAGTTTGAGATTACAGTGAGCTATGATCCTGCCACTGTACTCCAGCCTGGGTGACAGAACAAGACCCTGTCTCTTAAAAAATAATCGGCCGGGCGCAGTGGCTCACGCCTGTAATCCCAGCACTTTGGGAGGCCGAGGTGGGCAGATGACCTAAGGTCAGGAGTTCAAGACCAGCCTGACCAACATGGAGAAACTCCATCTCTACTAAAAATACAAAATTAGCTGGGCATGGTGGCACATGCCTGTAATACCAGCTACTTGGGAGGCTGAGGCAGGAGAATTGCTTGAACCCAGGAGGCGGAGGTTGCAGTGAGCCGAGATCACGCCATTGCACTCCAGCCTGGGCAAGAAGAGCAAAACTCCATGAAATAATGAAATGAAATGAAATAAAGAAATGAAATGAAATGAAAAGAAAATGAATCTCAGCCACCCCACATACTTGGTTTATTTCTTGGCCTCAGCTGTCCATTGGTGCCACTTTATTTCTAGCTGTGTGGTGGGTCTTTGGGCCTGCAGGAAGCAAAGGATTCTTTTTCATTTTGTTTTGTTTTGTTTTGTTTTGTTTTTTGAGACGAGTCTCACTCTGTCTCCCAGGCTAGAGTGCAGTGGTGTGATCTTGGCTCACTGCAACCTCCGCCTCATGGGCTCAAGCAATTCTCCTGCCTCAGCCTCCCAAGTAGTTGGGATTGCAGGCACGTGCCACCACGCCCAGCTAATTTTTGTATTTTTAGTAGAGACGAGGTTTCACCATGTTGGCCAGGCTGGTTTTGAACTCCTGACCTCAAATGATCCACCCACCTCTGCCTCCCAAAGTGCTGGGATTACAGGCATGAGCCACTGTGCCCGGCCAGCAAAGTGTTCTTAAGATGAAGTTTGACAAACATCCTAGAGGCCCCCTACTGGCCCTGGCACTTGCCATAGGGATGAGGCTCAGGTCACATCATCTGGTCGCTCAGCATGGAGGGATTTGGTTCCTAAGATTATCGTTGGGGACAGGTGACTCCTTCTGGGTTTCCTCCACTGCTGCTGGTACATTGAGTGGAGGGGGTTATGTTAATATTGGTCTCATTTTCAGGTCGAGTAAGGGACTGGCAGGCATGGTGGCTTTTCTGGTGGTCTTCTGCCCTAACACTTGTTCTTCTCAGCTGGCTGACTTTTAGAAGTAACCAAGGTAAAGGTGGGAAAGGCAGGCTAGCTTAGACTCCTCCTCTTTGAGTAGACAGGGAAGGTGGAATATACTTTGGGGAATGGGGAAGAATTGGTGGGACCCCCAGAAGGCAGGGGCTGCACTCTCTTGATGGAGCCTTCCTCCAGTTTCCTATACACCAGGACTAGGTATGTGGCCATGGTGTAGTCATATTTGTTTTCCCAACAAGGACTCCTGGATGTGGTCTGCCTTGAACCCCATGGACACCATGAGCTGTGTCTTTCCGTGGACTTGGTAATGAGGGAGTGGCTCCTGGTGTGGCCTTAGTATCCCCTGGTCGTTATTGACTCATGGATGCCCCATAATCTAGCCTATTGTGTTCCTCTTCCTGGGGTTGAGGGTAAGCAGTTTGTTCATGAGGCTTTCTAGTTCTGAGGAAATGAAGAATGGGATTTTGTAATTCCCGTAACATATCTCGTCTTGCAGTTCCACAAAGGTCAGTCTGACAAATGGCAAGACCTTGTCACCATGGTGTAGAGAAGGTCTCCCAGGCTCCACAAATCCACTGGGGCAGGGAGAAGGGTGGTCATAATTTTGTCCCTGGAAGATTTCTGAGGCAGCATAAGGGGGACTCCCACAAAATGTGCCCAGATTCTGGCTAACAGTGAACCTGCTGCCAAAGCCAGAGTCTGCTGTTTTTATGTTGTAATTGGTATCCAGAAGGAAGTTCTCTGGCTTCAGGTCCCTGTGGACAATTTTCTTCTGGTGGCAATACTGCACAGTAGATACTGTTTGCAGGAACTGGCCTCAGGTCTCTTTCTCCTTTCTGTGGCCATACTCTAGGATGTAGTCAAATAGCTCTGCTCTGCTGGCACATTCCAGGACTAAATATAATGTTTCTGTTGTCTTGGTTGCTTGAGAGAGTTTGCTGATATTGGAGTGATTCAGGACCTTCATTATACTGAATATATATATACTTTGGTATAGTCTCTGGAGGCTGGAGGAGCTCTGCTGAGCTTTGTGGATGACCTTCATGGCTATCTGGGTCTCAGTCAGAATATGCCAGGCCAGCTTCACCTTAGCGAAGCTACCCCGGCCGATGGTCTTGAGGACCCTGTAATTGTAAATAAGTGTCTCCTCACCAGACAAGGTGAGACCCTGCTACATGGTGACTGATATGGTTTGGCTGTGTCCCCACCCAGATCTCATCTTGAATTCCTATTTGTTGTGGGAGGGACCCGGTGGGAGGTAATTGAATCATGGGGGCAGGTCTTTCCTGTGCTGTTCTCATGATAGTGGATAAATCTCATGAGATCTGATGGCTATTGAGAGTTTCCCTGCACAAGCGCTCCTCTCTTTGCCTGCCGCCATCCATGTGAGATGTGACTTGCTCCTCCTTGCCTTCTGCCGTGATTGTGAGGCTTCCCCAGCCACGTGGAACTATAAATCCAGTTAAACCTCTTGGTTTTGTAAATTGCCCAGTCATGGGTATGTCTTTATCAGCAGCATGAAAAAGGACTAATATGGTAAATGGGTACCAGTAGAGTGGGGTGCTGCTGAAAAGATAACCAATAATGTGGAAGCCACTTTGGAACTGGGTAACAGGCAGAGATTTGAAGGGTTTGGAGGGTTCAGAAGAGGACAGGAAAATGTGGGAAAGTTTGGAACTTCCTAGAGACTTGTTGAATGGCTCTGACCAAAAGCCTGATAGCAATATGGACAATAAGGCCCAGGCTGAGGTGGTCTCAGATGGAGATGAAGAACTTGTTGGGAACTAGAGCAAAGGTGGCTCTTGTTATGTTTTAGCAAAAAGACTGGTGGCATTTTGCCCCTGACCTAGAAATTTGTAGAACTTTTAACTTGAGAGAGATGATTTAGGGTATCTGGAGGAAGAAATTTCTTTTTCTTTTTTTGAGACAGAGTCTCACTGTTGTTGCCCAGGCTGGAGTGCCATGATGCGATGTCAGCTCACTGCAGCCTCTGCCTCCCGGGTTCAAGTGATTGTCCTGCTTCAGCCTCCTGAGTAGCTGGGATTACAGGTGCCCGCCACCACGCCCAGCTAATTTTTGTATTTTTAGTAGAGACGGGTTTTCACCATGTTGGCCAGGCTGGTCTCGAACTCCTGACTTCAGGTGATTCACCTGCCTCAGCCTCCCAAAGTGCTGGGGTTACAGGTGTGAGCCACCGAGCCTGGCCAGCCAAAGAAATTTCTAAGCAGCAAAGCATTCAAGAGGTGATTTGGGTACTATTAAAGGCATTCAGTTTTATAAGGGAAGCAGAGCATAAAAGTTAGGAAAATTTGCAGCCTGACATTGAAATAGAAAGTAAAAACTTATTTTCTGAGGAGAAATTCAAGCCCTTACAGAAATTACAAGTAGCTGAATGTTAACTCCCAAGACAATGGGGAAAATGTCTCCAGGGCATGTCAGAGGTCCTCATGGCAGCCCTTCCCATCACAGGCCTGGAGGCCTAGGAGAAGATGGTTTCATGGGCCGGGCCTAGGGTCCCCGTGGTTTGTGCAAACTGGGGACTTGGTGCCCTGCGTCTCAGCAGCTCCAGCCGTGGCTGAAAGGAGCCAATGTAGAGCTCAGGCTGTGGCTTCAGAGGATGCAAGCCCCAAGCTGTGGCAGCTTCCACGTGGTGCTGAGTCTGCGAGTGCACAGAAGTCAAGAATTGAGGTTTGGGAACCTCTGCCTAGATTTCAGAGGATGCATTGAAATGCCTGGATGTCCAGGCAGAAGTTTACTGCAGGGGCAGGACTCTCATGGAGAACCTCTGCTAGGGCATTGTGGAAGGGAAATGTTGGGATGGAGCCCCCACACAGAGCTCTCCACAGGGAGACTGCCTAGTGGAGCTGTGAGAAGAGGGCCACCATCCTTCAGACCCCAGAATAGTAGATGCACCAACAGCTTGCACCATCCACTTGGAAAAGCTACAGATACTCAACACCAGCCTGTGAAAGCAGCCAGGAGGGAGGCTGTACCCTGCAAAGCCTCAGGGGTGGAGCTGCCCAAGACCATGGGAACCCACCTCTTGCTTCAGTGTGACGTGGATGTGAGACATGGAGTCAAAGGAGATCATTTTGGAGATTTAAGATTTAAATGCCCTGCTGGATTTTGGACTTGGATGGGGCCTGTAGCCTCTTTGTTTTGACCAATTTCTACCATTCAGAACAGCTGTATTTACCCAATGCCTTTACCTCCATTGTAGCTTAGAAGTAACTAACTTGCTTTTGGTTTTACAGGCTTATAAGCAGAAGGGACTTGCCTTGTCTCAGATGAGACATTGGACTGTGGACCTTTGTGTTAATGCTGAAATGAGCTAAGACTTTGGGGGACTGTTGGGAAGGCAAGATTGGTTTTGAAATGTGAGGACATTAGATTTGGGAATGGCCAGGGGCAGAATGATATGGTTTGACTATGTCCCCATCCATATCTCATCTTGAATTCCCATCGGTTATGGGAGGGACCCAGTGGGAGGTAATTGAATCATGGGTGCAGGTCTTTTCCATGCTGTTCTCGAGTTAGGGAATAAGTCTTACGAGATCTGATGGTTACAAAAAGGGGAGCTTCCCTGCACAAGCATTCCTCTCTTTGCCTGCCACCATACATAAGATGTGACTTGCTCCTCCTTGCCCTCTGCCATGATTGTGAGGCTTCCCCAGCCATGTAGAATTGTAAGTCCAGTTAAACCTCTTTCTTTTGTAAATTGCCCAGTCTTGGGTATGTCTTTATCATCAGCATGAAAACAGATTAATACAGTGTGACCTCCTAGCTACACTAACTACAAATCCTAAGAATGCTAACCAGTAATACTGGTGCTACAAACTATGCTAACTAACTAATGAACATAATACTAACAATACCAACTGTATACTGACTACACTAACAGTGATAACCAACAATACTAATAATGCTAACCAGCAACATTAACTAAATAAAAAATGAAAAAATGAGAAAAACAACAAAGGAAGTGGAAGAAAAATGGGAAGAAGATATAAGAATTTAAAAAGTGGGACAAAAGAGTAAAGGAGGATGAGAAAATAAAAAGAAAAAATAATAAGAAAAAGGAAATAAAAAAATGACAAAAAGAAAAATGAGGACAAAGACAAAGTAGAGAAAAAAGAAATAAAATAGAAAAAAACACTACACATGAGGAAACAACATAATTGTGGTCTCTGTTTGTCAGGTCACCAAAAATCAGCTTACTGGGCTGTGCAGACCAAAAACCTACATCCAGCCAAGTGCTTATTTAGGTGTTTGTAATTCCAGAACAATGGCTCCTTATAATATCCAGAGCAAGAAATGGGCCAGTTGTAGCTAGGAATAATCCATAGTGGTTTTCTCACTTTTGGTCTCAAGAAGCTTTTCCTCTTTTTTTTTTTTTTTTTAAAGTGTTTATTCTTTAGGTGGGTTATAGAGGTTGATATTTATTTTTTTTGAAACCTGAAGTATGCTACAACAGCCTTTTTTATTTCCAGGTTCAAAATCTCTAACACCTTTTGGCTTTTAAACATGTCATAATGTGTACACTCAAAATATTCAATACCTTTTTCTGAATTAAACTCTGAATGTTTGGTCTCAAAATGATGCTACAAATTAACTGACATCATGATACCCTAAGGAAATGTTCTGTTGCATAAGACACAATTGGGTACATTATTAACATCTGTAGAATGGAGAGGAGGATATCTATTATTATAATTTCCCCAGAAGATCATCATCGGATTTCTCTTCAGAACCTTCAGGAACACAAGTTAGTGGGTGGATGTATTCAGTTATTGATGGAAGAAAACTGTCAGTTATGAATTCTAGATCCAGCAAAACTGAAATATTGTCATATGCAGCAACATGGATGAAACTGGAGGCCATTATGTTAAGTGAAGTTAGCCAAGCACAGAAAAACAAATATTGCATGTTCTCACTCACATGTCAGAGCTAGAAAAGTAGATTTTATGAAAATAGAGCATATATTGGTGGGGAAGCAGATAGAGGATGAAGGGGGGGGAAAAAGAATGTAAATATATTTATTACCCTGAACTGTATACTTAAAAATGATAAAGATAGTAAATTTCGTATGCGTGTGTGTGTTTAACCTCAATAAAAAATATTTTAAAAAATGAGGGTGGAATTAAAACATCCTCAGATGTCTTAGTCTTTTTGTGCTGCTATAACAAAATACCTTAAGACTGGATAATTTATGAAGAACAGAAATTTGTTTCCCACAGTTCTGAAGGTTGGGGGAAGTCCAAAATCAAGGCTCCAGCAGATACAGTGTTTGATAAGTTGCCCTCTGCTTTCAAGATGGTCCCTTGTTTCTGTGTCCTCACTTGGCAGAAGGAATGAACTTGCTCCCTTGAGTCCTTATATAAAGTCATTAATCCTATCCATAAGGGTGGAGCTAGTATGGCCTAATCATCTCATGAAAGCCCCACCTCTTTATTTTTTATTTTTGGTAGAGATGGAGTCTCACTGTGTTGCCCAGGCTGGTGTCAAATTCCTAGGCTCAAGTGATCCTTCTGCTTGGGCCTCAAAAGTGCTGTGGTTACAGGTGTGAGCCACACCTCTTAATCCTGTTGCATTGGGGATTAAGTTTCAAAATGAATTTTGGAGGAACACAAACACTAAAACTACAGCACCAGATGATTCAAAAGCTTAACGAGTTTGTTACCACTAGATCTCCCTTCATGAAGGAAGTCATGAAGGTTGAAATAAAAGGACATTAGACAGGAAATCAAATCTGTATGAAGATATAATCATGTCTGATAAAGGTAAATACATGAAAAATTATAAAAGCTAGTAGTGTTTCTGTTTTCTACATGATTTAAGAGACTTATGTATCAAGAAGTTATTAGTCTGTGTTTTGGACACACAACACATTGAGATGTAGTTTTGTGGCATTAATGGCTGAAAGGTGATGGGGTTGGAGCTGTATAGGAGCAGTTTTTATATGTTATTGAAGTTAACTTGGTATACATTCACATCAGAGTAGTATAACTTCAGGGTGTTAAATATCAGCCCCATGGTAACCAAAAAGAAAATAACTGTAGGATATACACAAAAGGAAATGAAAAGGGGATTAAAATGTTTTTCTACAAAGATCAACTAAACACAAAATAAGATAATAATGCAGGAAATAGGGGACAAAACAACTGTGAGGCATATATACAAAACAAACAGCAAAATGACAAAAGTTCTGCCTTATCAGTGTTTAAATGTAAATAGCTTAAACCCTGCAGTCCAAAGACAGATTGGCAGAATGGATAGAAAAACATCCAGCTTCTAGCCATAAGAGACCCACTTTAGATGAAAGACAAAAAAATTTAATGTGACAGGATGGAAAAAGATACTCTCTTCATATAGTAACCAAAAGAGATCGGGGTTGCTACACTAATATCAGACAAAATATACTTTAAATCAAAAAAGTTTACGAGACAAAGCAGGACATTATATATTAATAAAAGGTTTAATACGGCAAAAAGACAAAACACACTAATAACAGACCACTCAAATATGTGAAACATGACTGATAATGGAAGGGAGAAATAGTTCTACAGCAGTAGTTGGGGACTTTAATGGGTAGAAGAACCAGGCAGAAGGTAAGTAGGGAAATAGAATATAGTACTTGAACAATATAAGAAACCAAGTAGATCTTACAGACATACACGGGGCATTCTACTCAACAACAGAATGCATCTTCTTCTTAAGTGGACTTAGGACCTTCTTTAGGATAGACCATACATTAGGCCAGAAATTAAGATTCAAGAGATTTTTAAAAATACGATACCAAGTATTTTCTTTGACAAAATGGGATGAAGTGAGAAATCAGTAACAGAAGGAAAACTGGAGACTTTATGTAAATTAAGTAACACCCTCTTCAAGAACCAGTGGTCAAAGGAGAAATCACAAGGGCAATTAGAAAAAAAAGGATTAGAAACAATTTAACAGACAGAAAATAAAACATTGCAAAACTTATGATATGCCACAAAAGCAGTGTTAAAGGAGGAAATTTACAGCTATAAATGCCTTCATTAAAAAAAGGATGAAGATCTCAAATCACCAATCTAACTTTTTACACCTTAACAAAGTAGAAAACAACAAACTCAAAGCTAGCAGAAAGAAGGAACTAATACAGTAGAGATAAATAAAATAGAAAAATTCAGCAAATCCAAAAGTTAGTTCTTGGAAAAGACTAACAAAATTGACAATCCCTTACCTAGATTGACTAGGCCCGAGATGAGAATCTCAAATTCATAACCACCTTTCTTTGCTCAGTTCCTGGGACTGTACTCTTTCCACCTTGGACGATGCCATCTCCTCAACCTGGAAAGTGATATGATTTTATTTTATTTTATTTTATTTTTAACTTTTGGAAGATTTTTTAATTTCATGAATAATGGTAATGATTTTTTTTAAATTATACTTTAAGTTTTAGGGTACATGTGCACAACGTGCAGGTTAGTTACATATGTATACATGTGCCATGCTGGTGTGCTGCACCCATTAACTCGTCATTTAGCATTAGGTATATCTCCTAATGCTATCCCTCCCCCCTAAAGTGATATGATTTTATATGTAGGGAACTGTAAAAATTTCTCACACATAAAACCCTTTTGGATCTGATAAACTCATTCAGCAAAATTGCAGGTTACAGAATCAACAAAAGTTCTGTTTCTATAACATTAACAACGGGCCGGGCACAGTGGCTCATGCCTGTAATCCCAGCACTTTGGGAGGCTGAGGCGGGTGGATCACAAGGTCAGAAGTTCGATACCAGCCTGACCAACATGGTGAAACCCCGTCTCTACTAAAAATACAAAAATTACCTGGGTGTGGTGGCACATGCCTGTAATCCCAGCTACTTGGGAGGTGGGAGGCTGAGGCAGGAGAATCGCTTGGAGGCAGGAGAATCGCTTGAACCCAGGAGGCGGAGGTTGCAGTGAGCCGAGATTGTGCCACTGCACTCCAGCCTGGGCAACAGAGCAAGACTTTGTCTCAAAAAAAAAAAAATTAACAATGAACAATCTGAAAAGGAAATTAAGAAAGCAGTTATATTTACAATATCATGGAAAAGAATAAAATAGTAAATTAGGTAGGAGAAAGACATGTATAGAAAGCTACAAAACATTGCAAAAAGAAATTAAAGACTTTAATAAATGGAAAGGTAACTCATGTTCATGGATTTAAAAACTTACTATTGTTAGGATCACAGTACTCCCCAAAGTAAGAAATGCAATGCAGTTCTTACTAAAATCTCAATGATGGTTTTGCAGAAAATAGAAAAATCCATCCTAACATGGATACAGAAAATCATGGGATCTCCAGTAGCCAAAATAATCTTGAAAACACACAACCAAGTTGGAGGTCTCACACTTCCTGATTTCAAAATGTACTGCAAAGCTACACCAATGAAAACAGTGTGGTAATGGCCGAGGTTCATATTTGGACTGTTGGGGTTTTTCACCTTAGTATTCGCTATCTTTTTTTTTTTTTTTTTGAGACGGAGTTGCGCTCTGTCACCCACGCTGGAGTGCAGTGGCATGATCTCAGCTCACTGCAAACTCCACCTCGTGGGTTCAAGCGATTCTCCTGCTTCAGCTTCCCAAGTAGCTGGGACTACAGGCGCGCACCACCACGCCCGGCTCATTTTTGTATTTTTTAGTAGAGACGGGGTTTTGCCATATTGCCCAGGCTGGGCTTGAATCCCTGGCCTCAGGTGATCCACTCACCTCCACCTCCCAAAGTGCTGGGATTGCAGGTGTGAGCCACCACACCTGGCCCAGTCCCACTCTTGTACATACATCACCACCACCTATTTCCAGAACCTTTCCTCATGCCAACCAGAGACTATGCAAATTAAGCAGTTATTCTCCATTTTTTTCTCTCCCAGCCATACTTGATAGAACATGAATATCAGATAAGTGCTATGGAGAACAGTAACACAGGGTGAAGTGAAAGTGTGCCATTTTATGTAGGATGGTTGGGGAAAGATGGCATTTGAGCCACTGATGGTGCAGGAGAGGGAACAAGTGTGATATTGAGGCCAGGTGTGCTTAGCAGTTTGAAAGCAAAGCTAGAAGTACAGGCGAGGCAGAGGCACAAGATGAATGTTTTATATTTTATTTTTTAAATAAAATATTTTTATTTATTTTAAAAACAATTTTTTTTTTTTTGAGACCAAGTCTTGCTGTGTTACCCAGGCTGGAGTATAGTGGCATGATCTCAGCTCACTGCAACCTCTGCCTCCTGGGTTACAAGTGATTTCTCCTGCCTCATTCTCCTAACTGGGACTACAGGTGCCCACCACCACGCCCAGCTAATTTTTGTATTTTTAGTAGAGGTGGGGTTTTACCATGCTGGCCAGGCTGGTCTTGAACTCCTGACCTCAAGTGATCCACCTGCCTCAGCCTCCCAGAGTGCTGGGATTATAGGCATGAGCCACTGTGCCTGGCCTAAGAAAAATATTTTTAAGAAAACAGAGACAAGGTCTTGCTGTGTTGCCCAGGCTGGTCTCCAACTCCTGGGCTTAAGCAGTCTTCCTGCCTCAGCCTCCCAAAGTGCTGGAGTTACACTTGTGAGCCACTGCGCCCAGCCTATTTTATTTTTTTTATTTTTAGAGTCAGGGTCTTGCTCTGTCACCCAGGCTGGAGTACAGTGGTGCGATTGTAGCTCACTCTAACTTCAAAGTTCTGGGCTCAAGCAGTCTTCTGTCCTTGGCTTCGCAAATCACTGGGATTACAGGTGTGAGCCACCACACCTGGCTAATTTTTAAATTTTTTTGTAGAGGCAGCCTCTCACTATATTGGTTAGGCTGGATTTGAATTTCCGGCCTCAAATGATCTTCCTGCCCTAGCCTGTCAAATTGCTGGGGTTACAGGTGTGAGCCACCACCCCAGTGTTTGTTTTTTTGTTTTTTTTTTTTTTTTGAGACAGAGTCTGGCTCTGTCGCCCAGGCTGGAGTGCAGTGGCGCTATCTCGGCTCACTGCAAGCTCCGCCTTCCAGGTTCACGCCATTCTCCAGCGTCAGACTCCCGAGTAGGTGGGACTACAGGCGCCCGCCACTACGCCCAGCTAATTTTTTTTTGTATTTTTAGTAGAGACGGGGTTTCATCGTGTTAGCCAGGATGGTCTCGGTCTCCTGACCTCGTGATCCGCCCGCCTCGGCCTCCCAAAGTGCTGGGAATTACAGGCGTGAGCCACTGGCCCAGCCTCCTGCGTTTGGTTTTTTAATTCTGCTTGTTTGTAGTGACATTCATCAAGAATGAATGACTTTAAAACAACAACGAAAAATCTTTAGGGATTTTTACTCTTGGGCAAGCATGCTTCTGTCTCTGAGCATTAGTTTTCTCATATATCAGATAAAAGGGTTTGGAGTATATCAATGATATTCTGGTTGTGGACAGAACTCTTGAGGGTTCCTTGAACATGATCCTTTGGTAGCATTGGATTGCTCTCGGCCATCCCACGAATAGCTGTGTTTTATCTGTTTTTTGCTTAAGATTTAACATATGAGTTCATTTGAAATGTTTCTGTTGCCACAAAGAAACAAAATCCCTGGCTCAGAGTTTTAAGGGGACTTACTGTTCTAATGCTACTCACTCAGGCTTTGGTTGAGTAGTAAACAGACTACAGCTTGTTTTTAAGTTCAGTGATCTTCAACTTACAGCCCCTGTGTTTTACAAATGAGTTAAATTAAGATCAGTATCTTCTGTTCAAATTCTTTTTCCAAAGAAATCCAAATGTGCCATAAGCTGATAGGTCTCTGGCCATGAAATATGGTTTCATAGTTACATTGAGATTGTTGAGTAGCTACAGGGAAACTGAGAATTTACATTCTGAGGCAAATGGTTTAACCTAAGAGGAATAAGATTAAGTAAACTGTGTATTAGCTCCTCATAATGTGGCAGGAATTCAGTGTTAGCGGTGGAAAAGCCACAGGAGCTTAATGTGGTAGGTAAGGAAGGTTTATGTTAGTTCCTTTCCCCGATTATCCCAGTTGCTGTGCATTGCCATCTCGGATCAGTTTCTAGCCATGACTACCTAAAAGTTGTCTGAGGGAGGCTGTGCACTGGGTGATCTTGTGAGGCAGGTGGACGTCTATTCTGCCAAGATCTTGTGGGCCCAGTTTGAGAATGGGTTTTAAGTTTTAGTCCTTTTACACTTCCTTTGCAGGAATGTAGCTTTTGAAATAGAAGCAAAGTGTTGTGAAACCTTTGACATTCTGTTCTTTAACACTTCCTCCTCAGCCTGAAGATCTCAGCTTTTGCTTGGGCGTTACAACACCCCATGGTACCTGAACCTCAAGTAAGCTCTGTTAGGTTTTCATATCTGCCCGTGTATGATGGTGACTTTTTTTTTTTCTGAGACGGAGTTTCGCTCTTGTTACCCAGGCTGGAGTGCAGTGGCGCAATCTTGGCTCACTGCAACCTCCGCTTCCTGGGTTCTAGCGACTTCTCCTGTCTCAGCCTCCCAAGTAGCTGGAATTACAGGCATGCACCACCACGCCCGGCTAATTTTGTATTTTTAGTAGAGACGGGGTTTCTCCATATTGGTCAGGCTGGTCTCTAACTCCCGACCTCAGGTGATCTGCCTGCCTCGGCCTCCCAAAGTGCTGGGATTATAGGCGTGAACCACCATGCCCAGCCTCGATGATGACTTATGAGTCAATTTGACTGGTCCTCAGGTGCCCAGATATGTGGCTAAACATTATTCTGGGTGTGCCTGTGAGGGTGTTTCTGGATGAGATTTGGTGGACTGAGTGAAGGTGGCTGCCCTCCCCAGCGTGGGTGAGCTTCATCCACGGGAGGCTGCTTAGAGAAGGAGGCTGAGCAGGAAAGTCTTCTTTCTCCGCCTGACCGTGCTTGAGATGGGACATAGGTGTTCTTTGCCCTCTGGACTCCAGGCTGCAACTAGAGCTTAACTCTGTCAGCTCTCCCGATTCTCAGACCTCCCAACTGCAGGTCATGGGACTTCTCAGCCTACATAATCCTGTGAGCCAATTCCTTGTAATAACTGTCTTTATGTGTAATCTATTGGTTCTGTTTATCTCTGGAGAGCCCAAATACTCCAGCAATAATGGAGTCACTTTTTCCCAGAGATAGGTTTTATCTTGGAGGATTCTTATATTGATCCTTCCCATATCTCTGTTTCAGAAACACTTCCTACAATGTAGAGTGCTAATAGCTGGTTTGTGAGTACCCCTTAGATATACTGGGATGAGCAATAAGGTCAATGCTGTCACCTAACCGTCTGTTGATTGTCAAGCCTTTGTGTGGAAGCAAGGAAATTCATCTAGCAATCATAACAAAGGCAAAGCCTGGAGTGTAAGGTGGTTAGGTTTTTGGCTAGCAAGAGCTGCAGAAAAACAGCCTCTAGCTTAAACTGAGTTATAAACATATGGAACTAGTGTAGGCCTTGAAATCTTTTGTGGTCGAATCCTCTTTGTAGGGGAACCTAGGCAAAATCATGTCATTTCCACTGCCGGTCCCATAGCGACTTCAGTTAAGGTATAGACCTATATAAAGTGTTTTATCCCTTAAAAAGCTTCATCTCCCATTTGCCTGTGGAATCCTCCCTACAACCCTAAGAGGTGGAGAGGAAGCCTTTCTTACAGATAAGGATGGAAATTGTACAGATGCACGAATTTGTTTCTAAAGCTAAGTAGAAACAAGAGTACCAAGAGGTCAGATTTTTCCAGCCCCCAAATCCTTGGCGTAAGTGTATAAAAAGTAAGCACAGCTGTTCTTGAGGTTTCTCAGCCTGTTGCCTCCTCCCCATGTTAAAATTCTGGCCTGTATTCTTCTAAGATAATCTCTGTACCCAGTTGAGGATTCAACATCTAGGTATCCTCTTTGGGAAGCGTTCTTAAAGCCCTCATATAATGGGTTAGATTCCTGATCACCTCTAACCCCTTTTGTGTTGAGAGTTTCTTTTGATTACGAAGTCATACATAGTCATTGTTTTAAAACTTAAAATATGGCAAACCATAGTCAAAGTCCTCTATACCCCCCCATCCCACTCGGAGGAAGAAGTCTTGACTATTCTTATGACATCATACATTTATTGCCATTTTCCTGTCTGCTTATCCAGGGTCTCCTTAAACCAAGCTTGAGGTAGGGAGACTATCTTGGTCATCTTTGCATCTCTAGCAGTTGGGCTGGTGCAGGTGCTTGGGAAATGAATCTGTGTTAAGATCACCAGCCTCTGAACAGGCCTTATGTACCAAGGTCTGTGTCCAGATTGGCATGACCTCTGAGTTAACAGTCCTTTATTTAGATCTTTAAGACTGAGTTCTCTGCCACAGATTTGCCCTCTGGAAAAAGGCACCTCTCCTCTAGAGCAGCAGCTGTCAACCTATAAATCCTGTTTTGAAAATTGGAATTTTAGTTAAATTACAGGGACAGAGTGTGATTGTATACAATTTAATTAACATATTGAAATAGGGATGTGAATAAGACTACTTTAGGCATTACTGAAAAGCAACCGAGCATTTAATGTTTTCATTTATATTTATGCCTGCCAAACTGTGGCACCAGCCCCATCAAGATGTCTGTGGTGCACTTAACTGTGCAGAAGGTGTGGAGCCTTTACATTTCCTCTCCCTGGACTTGGTACCATGTTTGCATGTTTTGCCAGTTATCTTAAAGTGGGATTTTAAATCTATTGTAAAACAAAAATAAACTTCATGGTACTTAATGCCACTGAAATATACACTTAAAAATGGTGAAAATGGTAATTGTTTTAATATTTTACCACAGTAATTTATGTAGGAATACTTTCTATAACTTTGTGCTAATAAATTTGAAAACCCGGAGGGGAAATTGTGCTGGCAGTGTTGAACTATGGGTCAGTTTGTTCTAGGCTACAGATAGACTTTCCTGTGTGAAGATTAAAGATGAAAAAGGCTAAGGAGGAGGGACAAGGGAAAAGAAAAGTGGAAATTTTAAGGGTTCCTGCTAACTCTTCCCAAGGAATTGGAAGGAGTGTTTACTAAGTGTTCCATTCCCGTTTAAGCTCTCTTCTCCCAACACAGTTAACCAAGCAAACTGTTACTTATTCTTTATAATAAAATTCCTCCCCGTCACAGTTTTTCTTAACCTCCTCAAGTCTTATCACCCCCCTACTTCCCACCGTGACCCTCAAAATGGAAGTGATTATATGAAGACCTGAAGGATTACTTAAATCTCAGTGAGTATTGAGTGCCTTCTGGGAGTGGGGAGTGAGATGGGGTGAGAGTTACTGGTCAGACAAACTTGGAGTACTTTGGAAGGTTTGCTTTGGGGCATTTCTTATTGTTGAAGTTACCTGGACCCCACTTCAGTGGGAGAGCCTGAGGGTGGAGATTAGAAGCAGAATCTGTTTAGCTAGATTAGGATCCAGTGAGAGCTTCTGCCTCAACTGTCCTGTTCAGAAAGCCACTCCTCCTCTAATGTGGAATAGCTTCACAGTTTATTATGAAAAAATGTCAGACATATACAAAGCAAAGAGACTCAGTGTAAAAGATACACTCTCCTACCTACTTTCAACAGTTAGCATTTTCTGTATTTGCTTTATCTGTTCTTTCAGTTGAGCTACTACAAAGTAAATTAGACCTCATGATACTTCACCTGTAAATGCTCTCAAGTCCTTTAATCTAGAATGTGGTCCCTCCTTCCCTTTTTCTGTCATTATCTTTAGTTTTGGAAAGATCAAGCCAGTTGTCCTAACAGAGTGTCCCACATTCTAGGTTTGTCTGGGTGCATCTTTTGATGTTTAATGTATTTCTCTATCCCCACTCTTTCTTGTGAAGTGGAAGTTGGGTCTAAAGGCTTGAGTACATTTAGCTTATATATATATATATATATATTTTTTTTTTTTTTTTTTTTTTTTGAGACGGAGTCTCGCTCTGTCGCCCAGGCTGGAGTGTAGTGGCGCGATCTCAGCTCACTGCAAGCTCCGCCTCCTGGGTTCAGGCCATTCTGCTGCCTCAGCCTCCCGAGTAGCTGGGACTACAGGCACCCGCCACCACGCCTGGCTAATTTTTTTTTGTATTTTTAGTAGAGACGGGGTTTCACCCTGTTAGCCAGGATGGTCTCGATCTCCTGATTTTGTGATCCGCCTGTCTTGGCCTCCCAAAGTGCTGGGATTACAGGCGTGAGCCACCAAGCCCGGCCTAGCTTATATATTTTTGACAAGAATACTTCATTAGGAACCTTTTAATGTCTGATTGTTCCACTATTAGAGACAGTAAGTTTAATCATGGTATTAAGGTAGTCACAGCCATATCACTGCATTGTAAAGATACTTTTCCTTCCCCTACCCCCATTCCTGTGTGATTAGGAAGTGCTCTGTGGGGTAATACTTTGGTGCCATGTGGATCTTTTAGTTTCCCATCCACCTTTCACCTATGGTATCACTGGTGATGTTTACCTGAATCCCTTCATTAAAGATTGCAAAATTATTTTTTATTTCAATCATTTTAAATACATTCCTTCTACTGGCATTCACCTGTTAGATTCCCGCCCCCCCCCCCGCCCCTGCTTTTCAACTAATATAGTTCCTACTTAAAAGACAGGATACATTGTTTTCCTCTACCTACTTATTTTCAGAGTGAGGAGTTATTGTTAGAAGTATTCACTCATCTTTAATGAAATTGTTTTGTTCATCAGATTATTTCAGGAGAGCAAGCAACAAGTGAGCAAAATAATCTGGGCCTGGCAGGACTACAGAGGTCAAAAGGGAGGACATGAGAAGCCACAAGCTGTCCCACAGAGATGGCAGCCTTCTCCCTCCCATTTAGCGGGGCTGGAAATGAGCTCCCTGTGACTCCTTTCTGTCCTTCCCCGGCTCCTCCCAGTCACCTCAGTGTGAGTGATGAGTAGTGCAGTGACAGCCTCGACCACATACCACATTTCTGTCCTGTAATAGCTTTGCTACCGACAACTTTCTTTCTTTTTTTTTTTGGTACCAAATTTCTTTATTTGAAGGAATGGTACAAATCGAAGAACTTAAGTGGATGTTTTGGCACAACTTATAGAAAAGGTAAAGGAAATCCCAACATGCATGCACTGCCTTAGTGACCAGGGAATTCGCCCCATGGCTATGGGGAAATTAGCCTGAGGCTTAGTTTTCATTATCACTGTCTCCCAGGGTGTTCTTGTTAAAGATATATTCTGCCAAGCCAGATTCGGGGGCTCCCATCTTGTGCAAGTTGGTCACGTGGTCACCCAATTCTTTGATGGCTTTCACCTGCTCATTCAGGTAACATGTCTCAATGAAGTCACACAAATGGGGGTCATTTTTGTCAGTGGCTAGTTTGTGCAGTTCCAATAGTGACTGATTCACATTTTTTTCCAAATGTGATGCACACTCCATTGCATTCAGCCCACTCTCCCAGTCATCACAGACTGGTTTCTTGATATCCTGAAGGAAGATTTGGCCACCACGATAGTTTTGCAGCTTCATCAGTTTCTCGGCATGTTCCCTCTCCTCATGAGATTGGTGAAGAAAGTATGTGGCAAAGTTCCTCAAAGCCACATCATCGCGGTCAAAGTTGTAAGACACGGACAGGTAAACGTAGGAGGCGTAGAGCTCCAGGTTGATCTGGCCGTTGATGGCGGCCTCTGAGTCCTGGTGGTAGTTCTGGCGCACCTGCGAGGTGGACGCAGTTGTCATGGCAGCAACTAAGGAGAGGTGGCGGCGGTGGCTGCGCGGCGCTGGAGCGGCGGCGGGGGCCTTGGGATGGTCCGAGGGTGCAGTGAAGAGGGGACAGAGGGCTGGCTACGGGCGGCCGGCCGGGGTGGGGGACGAGCGCTGGGTTCCGTCCAAGCACTGTTGAAGCAGGAAACCCCGACGACTCTCGGCGAAGAATGTCTCTGCTACCCACAACTTTCTCACTGTGCCAAAATCAGTGCCTGTCCAGTACCCTCGCCTTTTCTACCTCTCCTCTGCTAGCGATACTGTGTTTAAGTCGAGTGACCTTCCTCTCCTTCCTCACCATCCCTGCTTCTCACACTTACCCATACTCTTACTAAATCAGCTTACCATTACTCTTGCTAATTCAACTCAAGTAATACAATTAAACACCTCCTAAAATGAAGAAATCCCTTACATCTTCAGTTAACCTCTGTCTTAGTTCCTTTGGGCTATTGTTGCAAGATATCTTAGACTGGATAATTTATAAACAACAGAAGTTTATTGCCCACAGTTTGGAGGCTGAGGAAGTCCATTATCAGGGCTCCAATAGATTCACTGTCTAGTGAGGGTCACACTTCTGGATGGTGTCTTTTATGTGTCCTCACATGGTGGAAGGGGCGAGGTGGCTCGCTGCAGCCACTTTCCTAAGGGCCCTAGTCCCATTCACAAGGTCCCTGCCCTTCCTGACTTAATCACTCCCCCAAAGGCTCTACCTCTACTTTTTTTTTTTTTTTTTTCCCGAGACAGAGTTTCTCTCTTGTCGCCCAAGTTGGAGTACAATGGCTCAGTCTCGGCTCACTGCAACCTCCGCCTCCCAGGTTCAAGTGATTTTCCTACCTCAGCCTCCCAAGTAGCTGGGATTACAGGTGCATGCCACCACTCTGGGCTAATTTTTATATTTTTAGTAGAGACGGAGTTTCACCATGTTGGCCAGGCTGGTCTTGAACTCCTGACCTCAGGTGATCCACCCACCTCAGCCTCCCAGAGTGCTGTGATTACAGGCATGAGCCACCACACCCAGCCAGGCCCCACGTCTTAATACTGTCACTTTGGGCCTTAGGCTCCAACATACAAATTTTGCAGGGGCATTAACATTCAGACCAGAGCAGCCCCTCTACTTAGATGTACACCAATGTAAAAATTAACATGAACTCTGATATGCTCCACTGAATACAGAGACTCAAACATGGCACCCTCAATATATAAAATCAGTATGTTTGCAAAATTGCATCTCTCCAGAGGACAGAATCTGAACCAGTTGTTTAACCAGTAAGTTTCAAACAGTGAAACCAAGTAAATAACAGTTATTCAACAATAAATTAGGACACCCAAGAAGTCCTGGGTAACCACCGTCATGGGAAACAGAAGACAGGTCTTTCACTAGGACAGAAGGCATAAAATTGGACTAAATTTATTGTATGGTTCTTTTCTGGGATCATGATTTTAAAATCAACTACCAAGAAGGTTTGAAAATAAAAATCAAAAGTCGACCATGATTTTCTTGGGGGAAGAGAAAACAGCTCCTGAACCAAAGATCACTGTCGACACTGGCAGAGCAGATCCCATAGGAATGGTCATACATTTTGGTTGGTTGGTTTGTTTGTTTATTTTTTGTAGAGATGGCAGAGCAGATCCCATAGGAATGGTCATGTGTGTGTGTTTGGTTTTTTTCTTTATTTTTTATAGAGATGGGGTTTTACCATGTTAACCAGGCTGGTTTTGAACTCCTGAACTCAAGCAATCCACCCACCTCAGCCTCCCAAAGTGCTGGGATTACAGGCATGAGCCATCGTGCCTGGCCTGGGTCATATGTTTAACTCTTTGAGGAACTGCCAGACTGTTTTCCAAAATGGCTGCACCACTTTACATTCCCACCAGCGGTGTAGAAGAGTTCTAATTTCTCCACATGCTCGTCAAAACTCGTTTTCTGTTTTTTTTTTTAATTCTAGTGGTCCTAGTTGGTATGAAGTGGATTCTTCTTTCTTTTGACCATCACTGGGGTCTGATTTGCCCTGATACCATCTCTTGCTGCAGCCTTCATGCCTAGTGCCTGATCCTGCCTCACCCTGCTGCGCGTTGGCATTCAGATTTGACTTAAAATCCGAGTGGCTCAGCCTCTGCTCTGAATTGTCCCTTCAGTCAGGTGTTTGCAACTAGTCTCCTGAGGAGTTGCTGGGTTTGAGTCACAGAATACAAGAGGGATGCCCCTTCCAGGATCTGGGGGTTGGGAAAGTGTGGCAAGGCAGGTTTAAGATAGAAGAGGAAGTCAGCTGTAGCAAGCAAACACATAGACCTGGGCTGTGGGACCCTCGGAAGGGATATGGAGCCAAGCTCTTGGAGTGCCTGAGGAATTAGCCCAAGGAGCTTTGGCTTTCAGTAGCTGCTCCTGTGTGTAGCAAAGCAGGCTGGAGTAGAGTGAAGGGAGCCTGGGGTAAGGAAATAAATTAGGAGTCAAGAAGTAATGATGCAACTAGGATTGTGGAAATGTAAAGAGGTTAGGGAAAGATTTGTATGGCTGGGGCTAAACCAGATGTGATGGTTGGGGTAAAGGGACATAGGAAGTGGTTTTGGGTATGAGAACAAGAGAAAGTGTTCCTCTTGGGAAGGACAGACGGGGTGAGTGGAAAGTTTCTGTCTAATGTGACTTTAGGTGCTAACACAACACAAGGCAGACGTTTGCAGCAGAGAATTAAGAAAAGCTGAAGCTGGAATCCAGATTCAGCAATCGTGAATGCAGTGAGAACTGAGGCAATGCAGAGTGGCTGCTGCTTCCATGTCATCCCCTCAGATAGATATCTGCAGCCTCCTGGCCTCTGACTATACCTTTTATTTATTTATTTTTTAAAGAACAGCTTCATTGGAATATAATTGCCATACATGTTGAAACTATACACTTTGAGTTTTGACATACATATGTATCTATGAATACATACCATTCAAAGATGGTATGTATTGTGTGAAACCATCACCATAGTCAAGAGAATGAACAAATCCATTACCCTGAAGTATCCCAGTATTTCTTCGTAATTCACCCTCCTGCCTACTGCCCTTCCTTACCCCTCTCCAGGTAACCACTGATCTGCTTTCTAGTTCGCATTTTCTGGTATTTTGTATAAATGGGATCTGTATATATACTTTAAGTATACTGTGTATTTATTTGGGGGGGAGTATCTGGCCTCATTCGACATTATTATTTTATTTGTGCTGTATGTATCTATAGTTCATTCCTTTTTGTAGCTCAGTGGTATTTCATTGTATAGCTATATCACAGTTTGATTAGCCTTTCTGTTGATGGACATTTGGGTTGATTCACGTTTCTGGCTGTTACAACAAAAGCTGCTGTGAACACTGGTGCACAAGTCTCTGTCTAGATCTGTGTTTTCATTTCCTTTGGGTAGGTAGCTGTTTCGGAGGGGAATGGTTGGGGCATATGGTAGGCATATGCTTTAACTTTGTTTAAAAAGTTGAAATACTTAATACATCATAAAATTTGCCTATGTAAAGTGTGCGTGTTTTGTTTTGTTTTGTTTTGTTTTTGGAGACAGGGTCTCATTCTGTTGCGCAGGCTGGAGTGTAATAGTTTGATCACAGCTCACTGCACCTTCATCCTCCCAGGCTCAGGTGATCCTTCCACCTCAGCCCCACGAGTAGCTGGAACTAAGGGCACATGCCACCACACCTGGCTAATTTTTTTTTTTTTTTTTGGTAGAGACAATGTCTCACTTTGTTGTCTAGGCTGCTCTCAAACTCCCAGCTTCAGCCTTTCCACCTTAGCTTCCCAAAGTACTGGGATTACAGGCGTGAGACACTGCGCCCAGCCTAAAGTGTGTGCAGTTCAAATATTCACAAGGTTGTACAACCGTCACCATCTAATTACAGAACCGTTTCTTTTCTCTTTTCCTTTCCTTTCCTTTTTTCTTTCTTTCTTTCCTTTTTTTTTTTTTTTTTTTTTTTTTTAAGGAAACAGGGTCTCACTCTCATGGAGCTGGGACCACAGGTGTACACCACCACACCCAGCTGATTTTTGTAATTTTTTGTAGAGACAGGGTCTTGCCATGTTGCCCAGGATTTCTTCAAACTCCTGGGCTCAAGTGATTTGCCTGTCTCTGCTTCCCAGAGTGCTGGGATTACAGGCATGAGCCACCACACCCGGCCCAGAACATTTTCATCACCCCAAAGTATATATCTAACTTTTAAAATGGTTTTTCCCTTTCACATTCTTACCAGCAGTGTACAGGAGTTCCATCTGCTCCATATCCTTGCCAACACAGCATGGTCATTTAAAAAATTTTTAGCCTTTCTAATAGGTATGTGATGGTGTCTCATTATGTTTTTAATTTGTATTTCCCTAAAGATTAGCAGTGTTGAACAGACATGTTTTCACCTGCTTATTCTTTGGTGAAGCATCTATTAGATCTTTTGCCCACTTATTTTATTGGGTTGGTTTTTTTCTTACTGTGTTTGAGAGTTCTTTGTATATTCTGATTACAAGTCTTTTTGTCAGATATGTGATTTCCAAATATTTTCTCTCAGTCTGTGTCTTTCCATTCTATTAATAGTGTTTTTGGAAGAGCAGAAGCTCTTAGTGTTGATGAAGTCCAATTTGTCAATCCTTCTAGGGATTGTGCTTTTGATGTGCTATCTGTTAAAAGACAAAATTACAACACATTTAAAGATCTTAGTTGGCTTTTATTTGCAATTCGTGAATGAGGGCAGCTTCCATTCTACAAAATAGGATGAAAACTCCCAATGGGCAGTAGCAGAAGAATGGGCTTTGTAAGGTGGGAACAGTGAAACAGTAATTGAAAGATAACTGATTGGTTAACATCAGGTTACTTTTTTGTAAGGATTAAAGCAGAGGGTAGTTCCTTATCATGCCTGCTAAAACTGGCTTGTTTGGGTATTCTGTCTCTCTTGATTTTTTAGAAGGTCAGATAAACAACTTACTTTTCTTTTTTCCTTTTTTCTTTTTTTTTTTTTTTGAGACGGAGTCTCGCTCTGTCACCCAGGCTGGAGTGCAGTGGCGCGATCTCGGCTTACTGCAACCTTTGCCTTCTGGGTTCAAGCTGTTCTCCTGCCTCAGCCTCCTGAGTAGCTGGGACTACAGGCGCCTGCCACCACACCCAGCTAATTTTTGTATTTTTAGTAGAGACCAGTTTTCACCACGTTGGCCAGGCTGGTTTCGAACTCCTGACCTTGTGATCCTCCCACCTTGGCCTCCCAAAGTGCTGGGATTACAGCACTGGCGTGAGCCACCACACCCAGCCCACAACTTACTTTTCGTTTGGTGACGTGGAACTTTAGCTAGAGTGACTCTGTTTTGTTTGATCTAGTCTCTTGAGGCCTAGTACAGGAGCTCAGTCCAAATCAGTGGCCTCCTGTCATTTTTGTTTAACATATCTAGGAAATCCTTGCCTAACCCAAGATCTGACAGTCTTTTGAAATGGGACTGGATTTTAAACTAAGCTAGGATCTCAGGTATCCAGAAGGCATTTAAGTTTATAACGTGTCTCACCGGATACGCTGGAGAGTCATGGGGGAGGAGAAGAAAGCCAGTTACAAAAGTACATCATCAGTTGTTCAGTCATCTGTCAGTTTATGTGTGAATGCCCCTCATGAGCCAGGTCTGTAATCCAGTGGGCAGTCCCCATCTCCTGCATTGTCTCTGTGACTTATAGTTTCGTTCTTTCTGCTGTCAAATGAATATATAAAGAAAATATCCAAAAACTTAATAAATTGTAATTAAGAAGGCAAATCTCCCATCTTTCTCTTCCTGAAAAAATCCAAGTGTAAATGATTTTTTTTTTAACATAAAGCAAATCGTTATACTACTCTTTTCCATAAAGCATTTGGGAACTGATTGCTTGTTAGGGTAACCTGAAAGCTCTGCCACTATTTCCCCTAATATTTAAATGTTAAGAAAGGGAATGTGACTTTTTTTTTTTTTTTGAGTCAGGGTCTCACTCTGTCACCCAGGCTGGAGTGCAGTGGTACAATCTCAGCTCACTGTAACCCCCACTTCCCGGGTTCAAGCGATTTTCCCACCTCAGCCTCCTGAGTAACTGGCACTACAGACATGCACCACCATGCCCAGCTAATTTTTGTATTTCTGGTAGAGACGGGGTTTTCATCATGTTAGCCAGGGAGGTCTCAAATTTCTGACCTCAAGTGATCCGGCCGCCTCAGCCTCCCAAAGTGCTGGGATTACAGGCGTGAGCCACTGGGCCCAGCCTACAATTTTAAGTTCTATAATTGGTAGAAAATTTCCTCAGTTTGGGGGGCTCATCTTCAAGAGTGGAGACTAAAGTAGGTTCTGTAATTGCGCTGGCTAAAGAACAAAGAATTCTATAGCACTGTGAGCTGGAGAATGTTGTAGCAGGTTAATAAGGGGCTTACTCCATTTTGTCAGTAACCAGCATTGGTTCCAGGAATTCAAGAGGTGGTGAGATATTATGCTTAATGGTAATAAGATACCACTTATTGGTAATGTACCAGGCATTGGTCTCTGGCATCTTACCATCTTTGTACTCATATCTTCACAGGAGCACAAGAAAATTAAACCATCCACCTTTTACAGATTTAGGGATTTAGTAGAAGGCTGAAGGAGGCCAGATAACTGAACTTTTACTTGTACAGCTAATATTAAGTCGGTGCAATAGTAATTGCGGTTTTTGCAATTACTTTTAAAGTTTCAGAACCCTGATTTGAAGCAGAGCGTCTGGGAGTCTCTTCGTTCTGTTATACCAGAGTTGTTCTTGTATGTGAATAAGGAGCGTATCTGAATGCCTTGGCTTCAGCCCTGGAAGCCATTGCATTCTGACCAACCTTTGTGTAACCATTTTGTAGACTGTGAGGACTCTTGTCACTCCTTAAATTCTCTCCTAAACATATTATATTTTGCTTCTGAAGATGATCCAAATACCCTCAAAACTCAGGTGGAGATACTGTTAAAAGATAGTTTTCAAAAAGGGTAAGATCATAACTCATTTTAAATATAAAATGAACACATGTTAAAAATTTTAACTCATAAGACAAGCAGTTACAACCAGTTCAGGGAGAGTAGGACAACAAAGAGCAGACATACATGTAGTAATGTCAGTAATGTCGAAATGAACACAACTGGCTTTTCCACAGGGAAGGATTATCAAGACAGTTCATTTACTTATCCATGGACAAGAGTGATTTGCATTTCCCTCAGTTCTACACAACTTAGAGTTGCTGAAGGGCAGTGAAAGGCTAGAATCATATAACCTAGAAGGATGTGTTCCAAAGCTTAGAGTATAAATCTAAATATTGCAGTTTCCCATTGGAAACATCCCATGGTCTTTTTTAAAATTTGTTTACAGAATGTGAGAGTTTATAATACTATTGTCTCGTTTTTTTTTCTTCCATAACATATTTAAAATTCTTGCTTAAAAATGTTTTTGATGGGGATAGGGGGTTGTGAATTAAATTCCTAACATGTCCTAATAGTTACATGTTATGCCTAATCTGTTAGTGTACTTGGGTGATATGACACTTATTTTAAGCCTGATGCACTTAGAAGCATGTTCTACTTTGGATATCTGTTCTGAGGATGGTAGCTACAAAATGAACTTGTGCCCTTTCGCAAATTGTTGGACTTGTGGTGGTTGTCTTGTGTCCCTAGTATCTGATTTGGAAGACTCAATTAAGGGTTTAAAAGCCTGCAGAAGGCGCGGGCCGCCACGCCTAACTGGTTTTCATATTTTTTTGGTGGAGACGGGGTTTCGCTGTGTTGGCCGGGCTGGTCTCCAGCTCCTAACCGCGAGTGATCTGCCAGCCTCGGCCCCCCGAGGTGCCAGGATTGCAGACGGAGTCTCGTTCACTCAGTGCTCAGTGTTGCCCAGGCTGGAGTGCAGTGGCGTGATCTCGGCTCGCTACAACCTCCACCTCCCAGCCGCCTGCCTTGGCCTCCCAAAGTGCCGAGATTGCAGCCTCTGCCCGGCCACCACCCCGTCTGGGAAGTGAGGAGCGTCTCTGCCTGGCTGCCCATCGTCTGGGATGCGAGGAGCCCCTCTGCCCGGCTGCCCAGTCTGGGAAGTGAGGAGCGCCTCTTCCCGGCCGCCATCCCATCTAGGAAGTAAGGAGCGTCTCTGCCCGGCTGCCCATTGTCTGAGATGTGGGGAGCGCCTCTGCCCGGCCGCGACCCCGTCTGGGATATGAGGAGCCCCTCCGCCCGGCAGCCGCCCCATCTGAGAAGTGAGGAGCCCCTCCACCCAGCAGCCGCCCCATCTGAGAAGTGAGGAGCCCCTCCGCCCGGCAGCCGCCCCATCTGAGAAGTGAGGAGCCCCTCCACCCGGCAGCCGCCCCGTCTGAGAAGTGAGGCGCCCCTCTGCCCGGCAGCCACCCCGTCCGGGAGGGAGGTGGGGGGCAGCCCCCGCCCGGCCAGCCGCCCCGTCCGGGAGGGAGGTGGGGGTCAGCCCCCGCCCAGCAAGCCGACCCGTCCGGGAGGTGGGGGGCACCTCTGCCCGGCCGCCCCTTCTGGGAAGTGAGGAGCCCCTCTGCCCGGCCACCACCCCGTCTGGGAGGTGTACCCAACAGCTCATTGAGAACAGGCCATGATGACGATGGCGGTTTTGCAGAATAGAAAAGGGGGAAAGGTGGGGAAAAGATAGCGAAATCAGATTGTTGCTGTGTCTGTGTAGAAAGAAGTAGACATCACTTTGTTCTGTACTAAGAAAAATTCTTCTGCCTTGGGATGCTGTTGATCTATGACCTTACCTCCAACCATGTGCTCTCTGAAACATGTGCTGTGTCCACTCAGGGTTAAATGGATTAAGGGCGGTGCAAGATGTGCTTTGTTAAACAGATGCTTGAAGGCAGCATGCTCCTTAAGAGTCATCACCACTCCCTAATCTCAAGTACCCAGGGACACAAACACTGCGGAAGGCCTCAGGGTCCTCTGCCTAGGAAAACCGGAGACCTTTGTTCACTTGTTTATGTGCTGACCTTCCCTGCACTATTGTCCTATGACCCTGCCAAATCCCCCTCTGCGAGAAACACCCAAGAATGATCAATTAAAAAAAAAAAAAAAAAGAAAAAAAATTTTTTTAAATATAAGGTAATCTACATCTTCTGATATGGAAAGAGGTCTATCTATATATTCCCCTAATATATGTATTAACTAAAAAAAAAAAAAATTAAAAAAAAAAAAAGCCTGCAGAAACTTACGCTGTTAGGTAAGAGTTGGCAGTCTGACTCCCCTAGGAGTGACTTCCCCCTTCTCCCTTTCTAATGTCAGCAAGAGATAAATGCTATATGGCCAAAATTTTTGATTCCTTTGATCTTAACTCTTTGTGGTGTTGGGTGGAGAGTGGTTGGGAGAGGGTGGCAAAAAAGTTCACCTTTCAACCAGTCTTCCAGTCAGTTGGATCATCTTTTGAACTGAAAGGCTCTTGGATCTTTTTTTTTTTTCTCCCAGAAACAGAGTTTTGCTCTGTTGCCCAGGCTGGAGTGCAATGGAGCAATCTCGGCTCACTGTAACCTCTGCCTCCTGGGTTCAAGTGATTCTTTTATTTATTTATTTATTTTTGAGACGGAGTCTCGCTCTGTTGCCCAGGCTGGAGTGCAGTGGCACGGTCTTGGCTCACTGCAAGCTCCGCTCCCGGGTTCACGCCATTCTCCTGCCTCAGCCTCCCGAGTAGCTGGGACCACAGGCGCCCGCCACCACGCCCAGCTAATTTTTTGTATTTTTAGTAGAGACAGGGTTTCACCGTGTTAGCCAGGATGGTCTCGATCTCCTGCCCTCGTGATCCGCCCACCTCGGCCTCCCAAAGTGCTGGGATTACAGGCTTGAGCCACCGCACCTGGCCTTGGGTTCAAGTGATTCTTGTGCCTCAGCCTCCCGTATGGCTGGGATTACAGGTGTGAGTCACTACACCTGGCTAATTTTTGTATTTTTAGTAGAGACGGGGTTTCACCGTTGTTGGCCAGGTTGGTCTCAAACTCCCAACCTCAGATGATCCACCCACCTTGGCCTCCCAAAGTGTTGGGATTACAGGCGTGAGCCACTGCGCCCGGCCGACATCCCTTCTTAATGTCCTTTTCTTAAATGTATGAGGAGTGGGCCACTGAGCAGGGAGAGCCCTGGTTGGGGTCCTTTGATTGGAGAATAGCAGTAATAATGGGGAGGAGAGGTAGAAATGCAACCTGGACATTTGTAGGTCTTTGGCCACAGCTTGTGTTCAGATGGGAACTGGTAGGCCACCTGGCTTTTAGTGAGACTGTTCACCTTGCCTTCTGTTGAGCCCCATTGTCTTGGTCAACTGTAGTTCAGTCTGTCTTCCGTTAGTCTCCACCCTTCCTCCACTAGCAGAGAAGAGGACACATTTGCCTTTCACCTGGTGTAACATCCCTCGCCTCTTCCCCTTCTCTCTTTTCTTAGTAGCAGTGCCGTACCACATTCTGTGGGCTTCCTGATTTGAGAACTCTGGGGCTTGTATCCCATGGATGGTGGTAGAGGTTAAGTTTAAGTTTTCTCCATTTGTCCTGAGCAGGCATAATGTTATGCTTTGCATTATTTACTACACTTGTTTTGGAGCATTAAAAAATTCCAAGTGTGGAGACAGATTATCCTTTACCTAAATGAATTTGTTTTACTTTGGGATGTTGTTGGAAGTGGTCATAAGGAAATTGTTGAGGAATATAAATCTAGCCCCATGAAATGCCTGTTAAGTAGAATTCTTTTTTTTTAACTTGACAAGTAATTTTTAATTGATAAATAAAAATGGTATATGTTTGTGGTGTACAATATGATGTTTTGAAATATATATACACACATTGTAGAATGGCTGTATCAGGCTATTTAACATTTGCATTACCTCACATACTTTTTTTTTGTGGTGTGAATGTTTAAAATCTAGTCTCAGCAATTTTCAAGTATACAGTACACTGTTATTAATCATAGTCACCATGATGTACAACAGATCTCCTATTTCTCCTGTTTAACTGAAATTTTGTGTCCTTTGGCCATTGTCTCCCCAGTCACCCTACCCTCAGGTTCTGGTAACTACCATTTTACTCTCTGTTTCTATGAGTTTGTTTTCTTTAGATTCCACAGATAAGTGAGGTTATGCTCTATTTGTCTTTCCTGTGCCAGGCTTATTTCACTAAATGTAATGTTCTCCAGGTTCATCCTCGTTGTGGCAAATGACATAATTTCTTTGTTTTAAAAGGCTGACTAGTATTCCATTGTGCATATATGCCACGGTTTTTTTTTTCTTTTTTTACAGGCAGGGTCTCACTGTGTTGCCCAGGCTGGAGTACAGTGGTGCGAACACAGCTCACTACAGCCTGGGTCTCCCAGGCTCAAGTGATCCTGATCCCTTAGGGCCCAGCTGCCTCATCCTCCCAAGTAGTTGGGACCACAGGTGCACAATACCACACCCAGCTACTGTATTAATTTTTTTAGAGATGGGGTTTCACCATGTTGCTTAGGCTGGTCTCAAACTCTTGGGCTCAAGCAATCCTTCTGTCTTGGCCTCCCAAAGTTGCAGGATTACAGGTGTGTGCCACTATGCCTGACCAACTACGTTTTCTTGATCCATTCGTCCATGGATGGATACTTAAGTTGATTCCATATTTCAGTTACTGTGAATAATACTGCAGTGAACATGTGAGTGCAGATCTCTTCCACGTACTGATTCCATATCCTTTGGCTATATCATTGGATCAAATGGGAGTTCTATTTTTAATACTTTCAGCAGCCTCCATACTGTTTTCCATAATGGCTGTACTGATTTACATTCCCACCAACAGTGTGCAAGGGTGCCATTGCTCCACATCCTAACACCAATCTTTGTCTTTTTGGTAGTAGCCATTCTAACGGGTGTGAGGTGGTATCTCAGTGTGGCTTTAGTTTGCATTTCCCTGATGATTAGTTGAGCTACACACACACACACACACACACACACACACACACACACACACCCCTATTAGTCATTTGTCTATTTTCTTCTGAGAAATGTCTTTTTAGGTCCTTTGCCCATTTTAAAAATTAGATTATTTGTTTTCTTGCAATTGAGTTGCTTGAGTTCCTTATATGTTTAGGGTATTAAGCCCTTATCAGATATATGTTTTGCAAATATATTCTCCCATTTCGTAGATTATCTCTGCACTCTGTTGTTTCTCAGTATGATTCTTTTTTTCTTTGAGACAGGGTCTCACTCTGTCACCCAGCCGCTGGAGTACAGTTATATGATCACTGCTCGCTACAGCCTTGACATCCTGGGCTCAAGTGATCTTCCCACTTCAGCCTCCCAAGTAGCTGGGACTACAGGCGCATGCCACCACACTTGGCTAAGGTTTTCTTTCTTTTGTTTTCTGTAGAGATGGGGTCTCCCTATGTGGCCCAGGCTGTTCTTAAACTCCTGGGTTCAAGCAGTCCTCGCAATGTATTGGGATTACAGGCAAGAGCCACTGCACCCAGCCTCTATTGTTCTTATAATACTTGATAATAAAACACATGTGACTGCCTTGCAAAACTCCTTAGAACTCCTCAGGAGGACTGTCTCCAATCTGATGAAACTAAACTATCACTAGCAGATTTTCACACCTAATCAGAGAAAACTTTGTGTTACACAGAATTGTAAAAATTTGCATTGAAGTTTTAAAACTTTACCCTGCTCAGCCAAGGACTCTATAAAAGCTGCTCCAGTCAATCATTGTGATCAATTTCTGTTTAGTTTTTGAGATGGAGTCTTACTCTGTCTCCTGTGCAGTGGCGCGATCTTGGCTCATTGCAACCTCTGCCTCCCGGGTTCAAGCGATTCTCCCACTTCATCCTCCCAAGTAGCTGGGATTACAGGTGTGCACCTGGCTAATTTTTGTATTTTTAGTAGAGACAGGGTTTCACCATGCTGGCCAGGCTGGTCTTGAACTCCTGACCTCAAGTGATCTGCCCGCCTCGGCCTCCCAAAGTGCTGGGATTACAGGCATGAACCACCGCGCCTGGCCAAAGAGCCAGTATTTTTATTGTGTGTCAGGAGGGAAAGAAGATGGTGTAGATATCAAGTAGTGAAATGAGTAAGGGCTATAAATTGAGTCTTGAGATGTTTGAAGAGTATATATTAATCCTAGTAAAATGCCTTAGAATTGTTTAGACCAACACTGTATAGTAGAACTGTCCAATATAGTAGCTATGGCTGAGAGACTGTATTTGAGATCATGCAATTTCCTTTAAATAGCCACCGGTGGCTAGTAACTGTTACATTGGACAGTTCAGGTTTAAACTAGTTTTCTCAATTTTTTTCATTATTGTACCTCTCTTTTACCCCTAAGCCTTTTTAGACCTTTTTTTCCTAATGTCTCCCCTGCTTCAATGAAATTTTAATACCGTGGATATGCTGTGCATACATTGTGGCTCCTAGAGGGCTGCAGATCCATGTTAATTATCACCTCTGTTAGGAATGTGTGGTCTAGACTAATCAGGGATTGGCATCATAGTGAAGCCTAACCAACTGTTGTTATATTTCTTGGGCAGTTAAAATCACTAAAGGCTAATCATACTTACGATGAGTATTATTCAGAACTTCAGAACTGAGAAAGTTTTTGGAGTTTTGGAAGTTTATAAAATGCTCAGTCATCCTGTTTTTCTTCATATGTGACATTCTTAAAGCATCAACTTGTTTTAGTAATGGATAGTACTTGTACAAAGATACAGACATTTAAAGAAATAAAAGGAGCCTAATCCAGCCAGAGGTAGGCAACCAAGAAGTTAAGGCATCTAGAAGCCATGTTGCTTGCAGAAGAGTTGAGAGAACCAGAGATGTACAGTTTTGGTGATCGATAGACTGGGTGTCTCAAATAATAAGGGATATCACATGGGAAAAGGATTAGATTGGTACTTTGCTGCCTCACAGAACAAGGCAGGGAGAAGAACTACACAGAGACAGAATCTAGTTCACTGCATGATTTTGCAGCTAGAATAGTTTGAAGATGGAACACTGCATAGGAGGAAGTTAATCATTATTGAAAGTGTTTGGGCAGAAACCAGGTGATGTTTCAGTATTGTGGACCAAGTATATCGACTAATATAGAGCTGAAATAAAATGACTTTTAAGGATTCATTGTGGGGCTGGGTACGGTGGCTCACGCCTATAATCCCAGCACTTTGGGAGGCTGAGGCGGGCAGATTACCTGAGGTCGGGAGTTTGAGACCAGCCTGGCCAACATGGTGAAACCCCGTCTCTACTAAAAATACAAAAATTTGCCGGGTGTGGTGGTGGGCATCTGTAATCCCAGCTACTCAGGAGGCTGAAGAGTTGCTTGAGCCCAGGAGACAAAGGTTGCAGTGAGCCGAGATCACGCCACTGCACTCCAGCCTGGGTAGCAGAGGAAGACTGTGTCTCAAAAAAAAAAAAAAGAGAGATTCATTGTGGCTGAGTTTCAGGTGCTTTGGTTTTGTTCTACAGCTGGCCTCACCATTTCTAAATACATAGAATTGTAACCATAAGAGGTCCATTACCTGATGCATGCAGCAATGCTGAGACACTGGGTTGTAGCAGAGAAAGAGTTGTGTGTGTGTTGGGGTGGGGTGGGGGGGTGGTGTTGGAGACAGGATCTTGCTCTGTTACCCAGACTGGAGTACAGTGGCAAGATCATAGTTCACTGCAGCCTTGAACTCCTAGGCTCAGGAGATTCTCCTGCCTCAGCCTCCTGAGTAGCTGGGAGTAGGCACGATACCATGCTTGGCTAATTTCTTATTTTTTGTAAAGACGAGGTCTTGCTGTGTTGCCCAGGCTGGTCTCGAAACTCCTGGTCTCCCAAATTGTTGGGATTACAGGTGTGCCACCGTGCCCAGCTGAGAAAGAGGTTTAATCATAGGGCCACCTCATGAGGAGATAGGAGAGAACTGCACATCCATTTCCCTAGGGAGTTTGGGGCTGGGATTTCTAAGGGTTTTAAGTGGGCTGAAGTGTGGAGATTGTTGATTGGTCAAAGAGTGCAGAGTGAAGTCATGGGACAGGGAGAGAAGCTGTATTCTCATGCTGATCATGTTCCTCCATGGGGGTCTTCAAACTGGTTGCTGGAATTGGGGTCTGATATACATCTTAAGCAATCCTTAAATAAAAGCCTTATGATTCTAATGTCAGAGATGCTGTCTATAGGAACAGTGGGGACACAAATCAATTTTCACACAATTTTATGACCCTGATGTTAGAAATCCTATCTCTAGGAACAGTGGGGATGCAAAAAGTCAGACTTGTAGCAACAAGGAAAGGGGCCAAAGTACAGTCTGATTAATGCTTTGTTGTAACTATATTTCTATCCAGAACCAGCAGGCCATTTTTTTCAACTCTGTGGAGGCGGTTTCAGAATTGTGTAGATGCCCTTGTCCAGGAAGGAGTTGTGAAGTAGCTAGTTGAATATAGCCACTGAGGTTTCCAGTTTAACACTTACAAAGCTACAGGACACAATCTTGTACTTACCAGCTTATAGAGAACTGAGATGGCCCCTTTTTGAAGTAAGAAAGTGTTTACAGTTTTGTCTGCAGGTCATCCCCAGCACCTAGCTCAGTAATGGACACTTCATGGCACTCAGCAAGTGTTTGAACTGGATTTGGTGTGTTTACCCCCTAGCTCATGGTCAGTGACTACTGCTTCTGAATTAAAAATAGCAACACATGATCAGATTTAAGTGGGGCCAGAAAGAGGCTGTTAGGGCATAGGATATTTTAGCATGAAGTGGATAGGATCATGAGTGGTAACCCATGTTCTTAGGGCCCATGTGCCTATGTGGTCACTGCAAAACAATAAAAGTGGAGGCAAGAATTCAAATTAGTATATGGGAGTGAGCCACTTAGTGACCCAGTGCCCATGTTTCAGTGCTGCTTTGTTTTTCTTCTAACAAAGGGCATTTTTGCCCTATGTAAAAATTGGTATTGGCCAATTAGGACTTCACAAAGGTCTCCATATCTTCCTCAAATGACAAGGGTCTTATGCTAAATGTGACTCTCTACTGCCCTGTTTGTTAACATATGATGCAGTACACCAATGCAGATCACACTGCAGTTTTAGGTAGTATATAGCTGAATGCATAATTTGTATTAGAAATACAACAAGGACATTAGACTCATGTCTGCATTGACATGGATACAGCAAAAATCTTGAAGTTAGTGTGAGAGATTACAGTAGTGAGATTTGGAAGATGGAATAATACTTGTTGATTAAGTGCATATTTTTCATTTAAGTTAGAAAAGCCCTCATAACAAAGCCACCCATATTTCATGTGTCAAATGGAATGCTAGGAGCTTTCTGTGCATTATCTCATTTGTGGAGGATTCTCATTTTTCACATGGAAGCAGAGGGGCATTTAAGTTCACACAGCTGCCACTTGGGGTAGCTTATCCCTGTAATCCCAGCACTTTGGGAGGCCAAGGTGGGAAAGAATGTGTGAACCCAGGAGTTTGAGACCAGCCTGGGCAATGTAGAGAGACCTCATCTCTACCAAAAAATTTTTCAAAAAAGAAAAGCTGGGCATGGTGGCGTGTGCCTGTAGTCCCATCTGTTCAAGAGGCCAAGGGTGGGAGGATCTCTTGAGCCCCGGCGGTCGAGGCTGCAGTGATCATGCTCTACTGCACTCCAGTCTGGGAAGGAGGGAGAGACCTTGTCTGAAAAAACAAAAAACAGTTCACACAGCTGAATGTATCTGAGGTGAGATTGAAACCCATGGTTGTGGCCGGGCACGGTGGCTTACTGTAATCCCAGCACTTTGGGAGGCCGAGGCGCTGAATTACCTGAGGCCAGGAGTTCGAGACCAACCTGGGCAACATGGTGAAACCCTGTCTCTACCAAAAATACAAAAATCAGTTGGGTGCGGTGGCACGTGCCTGTAATCCCAGCTCCTCAGGTGGCTGAGACAGGAGAATCCCTTGAACTTGGGAGGCAGAAGTTGCAGTGAGCCAAGATCGCGCCACTGCACTCCAGCCTGGGCGACAGAGCGAGACTCCATCTCAAAAACAAAACCCATGGTTGTGATCCTAAAACCGGAAGGTTGGCTTTCCATTGTCTTGTTTTGGCAATTTCTAGCCATCTTTCTTTCCCCAGTGTTCAGTATAATTAGCAGTCTTCCTGAGAATTTGGGAGCATTTCCTTCTGGTTACCTACAATAGGGACTGTGATCTCAAGTTCCTTAAGCATCTTTGAATGGGACAAAATAGAACCTGGCCTGCTACCTTGCACATGACTAGCTATGGAGCCTTAGACAAGTTGTGTAAATCTCGAATTCTCAGGAAGAAAATGCCATTTGAGCTCTAGCTGAATGGAGAAACACTGCACATGCCAGAACCGTTCTCCCTCATGGTCCATCCAGGCTGATGCCCGCATGGGTGGAGATGCTTGCTGTCTTCCTCCCTGTGCCCTTTTCCCAGCCTCACAAGCAGCGTGTGAGGTCACCTTTGATGGTGCCACATAAGCTCCATGGGCTGGCTCTAAGGGACAGCACTGTGTTCATGGCACAAAGGCCTGCTGTGACCAGTAGTAACAGCAAAAGTGACTGTACCTTCTGATACTTAGCCACCCCTTCTTGTGACACACATCAGCATGCCTCTGTTGTCCATAGTAGGCTCTAGTAGGATGCAGGGCTGTCAGCAGAATTTATTGAAACCTGGAAATGGCGGGGTGGGGGGTGGGGGAAGTGCCCAGGCATTCTTTATGTCTTGTATAATCTCTCTAGATTTTGTTTACTCTCTTCAACTATTTATTACCAAAGGATCACAGGTCACCAAGCATGAGGAAGTACTGTCTATACGTTTTAAGTAAGAGTCCAGGTAACACTTATTGTTGTTGCTGCTTCAGAGAATTCTCCTTGGCCAGAATTGTCAGCCCACCTTTTCTTGCTTAGTGGTATATATGAGGTGTCATAATGGGCAAGAGGTTCAAAGTCTTCATTTGAGTAAGAGAGTGTCTTGTGCTAAGCATCTGCAGCCCTCAGGGGAACCTAAAAGAAGGCACTCTCACAGAGGCAGTGACCCAAAAATGTATATCTAAACAAAGACAGATTGGCATTCTCCATCATCTCTTACTTGGCCTCTGGGCATGTCCACTGTCCCTGCACAATTGTTTACCAAGCCCTTGCACCACAGGCACTACTGGGATTAGGAATTTGGGGATGAAGGAGAGAATACCTTCAAGGAGAATTTATCCCCCGCCCCCCCGCCCCCCACAAACACACACCTCCCACCTGCTCTATCCTCCTCCTGCCCTACCCCCACTTAGATGAGAGGCAGAGACCCAGGTAGTCATGATTCAAGTATGCTTTTCAAAAAGGTGTCTGGGCCCCAGGTGCTCTTGCGTTTGAGGGAGTAGTATCCAGGAAGACAGGCTCTCAACACTGCCTAGACCTCACCTGCCCCCTCCAGATGAGCAGGCTCCTGGGCAGAAAGGGCATTACATTAGGGGGTGAGGTGGGACCCTGTGGGAGGAATGGCAAGCCCATTTGAGACAAGCCGTGTGGTGGCTGGGAACGAGGTGTATTCTGGAGAAGGACTGTAAGGGTAGACTAGATATCTCCCTCACCTGGCTGCTTTTATGTGCCCGCTCAGGCCTCTAGCCTTGGTGGATCTATGCCTTCGGGCCTTGTTCCTGAATCCCAACTGTCTCATTGGCCTGCCAGGATAACTTACTGCGCCACCCCCCTGATGCTTAGCTGCTCTCTGTACCTGAACCATCAATCTTGCTCTTTCTCATTCCAGTCATTTAACATTTTCCAGCATGCTTTCTGGGAACTTCTCTGAAGCTTGTTAAGGGATTGATAACCAGTAAAATGTTTTGACCAGTTATTTTTAACATGCTGAACACTTCTTTTTAGGCATTGCACGTTCAGCTGTTTAGTCTTGCCTTTGAAAACATTCAGTATTTCTGCTGGTAGTGCTCTCTCCTTTGCTGTACTTTGCCATGATTATGTCATCTGGGCCACCAGACAGCAGACCTCTAGATGGCAGGTCCAGCCATCTCTTCTCTTTTGCTTTCCGTGTCTGGTGAATGCACGTAACATTCCCAATTTAGCACAGGCGTCTAGATAGACTTCAGCCATAAAATCCTAGCACAAACTAGTATTCCCTCAGTTAACAGTGAAGCTTAAATATAACTAAATACCACTGTATCTTTAAAAATAGATTTGGTTGAGAATCACCTCAAACTTAGCATGTCTAAAATCAAACACAATTCCTCCCCAAGAAACACGTTACTGTTTTTCAGACTTCCCTGATCTAAGAAATCCTCTTGGTCCCATGAGACATAAACACAGGTGACTTCCTTGGCGTTTTCCCTCATTTCCCATACCCATCCCAATCCAATCCATCACTAGATGCCATCCACCTTTACTTTCTCCCCATTCTCTTCTGCTTTCACACTGGTCTAGTGCAGTCCTCTCTTGCCTGAAGGTGGCGCAGCATCCTCACTGTCCACCGCAGGGTCTCCTACCCTCCCCACTGCAGGCAGGCAGGGCGCTGGCTCTGCAGGATGAACACTGCTGCTTAGAAATCTCCACAAGTCAGGCTTCTCATTACTCTGTGGTTTTGGGACCTTAGTACGGCCCACTGTGTCCTGCGTGATCAGGCCCAGGCACCTCATTTTCATATCCCCCTCCAAGTAAGGCCTTGCATGTGCGTTCTTTAAGGAAAACTGTTTGTTCCCTTTTCCCCCTTCATATCCAGGTTCAGTTCTTCCCAGAGGAATCCTTCCCTAATTCTCCCAACCAAGGTAATTACCCTTAAAGTAAACTTAACACGTCTTGATCACAGTAGTATTTTACTTTTTGCATTTGGTATGATTTCTCCTTATAGTCTCGTATCTACTTTTGCCCTTGGTATATGTTTGATTAATATAGTAAGATTAATAACACAATGATTAGTAGTCCTGGGGCTTAAGAGTTCTATTCATGGCATGATTTTTTTTTTTTTTTTTTGGAGACAGTCTCGCTCTGTCGCCCAGGCTGGAGTGCAGTGATGCAATCCCAGCTCACTGAAACTTCTACCCCCCAGGTTCTAGTGAGTCTCCTGCCTCAGCCTCCCTGGTAGCTGGGATTACCAAATATTGGAGTAGAGCTTCTTAACTCTGTAGAAGAGAGAACAGAATTACATTTTTGCATCTGGGCACAGTGGTGCATACCTATAGTCCCAGCCACTCAGGAGGCTGAGGCAGGAGGTCACTTGAGCCACAGGAGTTCTGGGTTTTAGGGCATTATACCAATTGGGTGTCTGCATTAACTTCGGCATCAGTAGAGTGACCCCTCAGAAGCAGGTGACCACCAGGTTGCCCAGGGAGGGTGAACCGGCCCAGGTTGCGAATAGAGCAGATGAAACATCTCTCCTATGCTGATCAGTAGTGGGATTGCACCTGTAAAAAGCCACTGCACTCCAACCTGGACAACACAGTGAAACCCGTCTCTTGAAAATAAAAAATTAAAAGAATTTTTTAGGCTGGGCACAGTGGCTTATGCCTGCAATCCCAGCACTTTGGGAGGCTGAGCCAGGCAGATCAGTTGAATTCAGGAGTTTGAGACCAGCCTGGCCAAAATGGTGAAACCCCATCTCTACTAAAAATACAAAAAGGCGTGGTGGCTCGCACCTGCAGTCCTAGCTATTCGGGAGGCTGAGACAGAGTTGCCTGAACCCTGGAGGGGGAAGTTGCAGTGAACAGAGATCGCGCCACTGTACTCCAACCTGGGCGACAGAGCAAGACTGTCTCAAAAAAAAAAAAAAAAAAAATTCTTTAAGGTATTTGGTCAGCTCCTTGATGTGCTTCTCTCACTAGATATTTTCATTGTAATGAAAGTGTTTATCCTGCCCCCCTAGATCCTTAATGTTTCTTTTCAAAGGCTTCTGTCTTTTCCTACTGAGTTTCTTCCTAGAGGTGGTAATTCTAAATGGAACAACAGACTGACGGCCTACTTCCCGAGTGCCCCCAAATGACTTCATAATTCCACAAAAGTGGCTTGGCCAGAGCCATCCACTCATCCCCTTCCTTCTTCCTTGTCAGACTACTGGTCTTTCTATTCTTGCCCCCTCCCCAGAATGAATATTTTTAGAAACCAAGTGACTCCTGATGAGCTTCTTTTTCTTCATCTGTTAAATGGGAATTCTCATTGTATCCCTATAGGCTTGGTTTGTTGGAGGAGTAAACAAATTGCCCCAGGAAAGTCTGTAGTACAGTCCCCGGCACAAAGTGCATTCTGTAAGTGGTAGTGATGTCTTGCTGTTTCAGGGGGTCTTCACTATTCAGGCCCTAATTAGATTCCTCAGTTTGGGAAGTTGAGAAGAGTCTGCCTACAACAGACACTGCTGTTCTGCTTGATGCCCAGTGCAGTAGTATTATGTGACTTTCGATGCCTTTCTGGTCTCTCCTCATGACCTTCTCCAAAACTTTATGAGCAAATATTGCTTGCCTACTTCACTCTGAGCCTTGAAGTCAATCAGTTTTGAGGGCAAGATGACTGCTGGGTCTTCTCTAATGGTCATATACAGAGCATGAAGTCTTGGAAGAAAATGAGATGGACAGAGAGACATTTACCCATGTTCCGTGCTGGTGAAAGTGTGGAATGTTACTTTGGAATCTGCTCAGAAGCCTGCTACTTCCGAACTCTGTATCCCTATGATGCTTCCTTCCCAGTGCTATATTTAGATCATATGTGCAATAAGTCACATTCTAGTAGGCAGGGTAGGCAAAGACCATCAGCAGAATGAGAGACACATGGATGAAATGTATTCTACTAATCCAAGAAATGCCGAGTGATTAAAACATTTGTGAGTCTGATCAGATTATGCTGACAGAGTGTATATGTAGGTTCATCTCATCATAATTGAAAACAATGCATACTTAGCAGCAAGGGAAATTTTGAGATTATCCATGTGCTGAATATCATGCAACCTTAATGTTAATAACATGGGAAGATATTTAATATAGAAAAAGCAAGATGCAAAGTTATACATGGTATATAACCTCAACCATTTGAAGGAAAACTAGAAAGACATATACTCTAATACTAATAGTGATTGCTTCTGGGAGATGGAATTGTCAGTAGCTTTTTGTCTTCATTCTTTCGTACCTTCCTGAGTTTTCTACAATTTGATACCATAGTTAGGGTGGGAACAGTGCAGGGGAGCAGAAAAGCCAACTGTGATTAGGACCCAGTTGTTGCAGACAGGCAACTTGGAAACACCAACCAACTAAAAATGTTAACAAACTATAGAACATTAATTGGTTTAACTGTCATGGCTTTGTTGAACCTTTAGCATTTGTTCAAATATCTAGTGCTATCATTACGGTTTTGGATCGGGCACAACATGTAAATCAGAACAGTAGTTGTAGACTCTTCACATCAGTGGTTTCCAAACTTGGTGTGTATGCCTGAATTGCCATAAAAGACTTGTTAAAAGTCCCAGCCCTCACAAGCCAGAATCCTCCTTTGGGTGAGAGCTGGTACTGCAAAATGGCATGGTAGGACCTGGGCTGACACTCCTGGTAATTCCAGCTCTGCCACTTCGTTGCTGTCTGACTGTGGATGTGATGAACACCTGGTTCAATTTCATCTCCTGCATTTTACACTGTTGTTTTGATGGCTTTGCAGATATAGTAATCCTCTTTATCTGCAGTCAATCGTGGTCTGAAAATATTAAACGGGAAACTATAGAAATACTATTCTTAAGTTTCTTTTTGTTTGTCTGCTTTTTGAGACAGAGGGTTGTTCTGTCACCCAGGCTGGAGGGCAGTGGAGCGATCATAGCTCACTGGAGCCTTAAACTCCTGGGCTCAAGCCATCTTCCCACCTCGGCCTGCCGAGTAACTGGGACTTACAGGAGTGTACCACCATGCCCAGGTAATGTATTAAATATTTTGTAGCGACTGGGTTTCAACATGTTGCCCAGGTTGGTCTCAAAACTCCTGGCCTTAAGCAGTCTTCCTGCCTCAGCCTCCCAGAGTTCTGGGATTACAGGCATGAGCCACTGCACCCTGCCATAAGTTTTAAATTGCGTGCTGTTTGGATTAGCTTGATGAAGCTTGTGCTATCCCACCCAGGAAGTGAATCATCGCTTTGTCCAGGGTTTCTACACCATAGATGCTACCTGCCCGTTAGTCACTTAGTAGCTGTCTTGGTTATCACATCAATGTTGCAATGCTTGTGTTCAAGTAACTCATAATTGACTTAATAATGGTCCCAAAGCACAAGATGCTGGCAATTTGGTTATGCCACAGAGAAGCTCTTGAAGTGAAAAGGTAAAAATTGTTGACTTAATAAGGAAAGTGAAAAAATTGTATGCCGAGGTTGCTAAAATTTGTGAGAACATATTTTCTATCTTTGAAATTGTGAAGAAGGAAAAAGAAAATCATGCTAATTTTGCTGTGACACCTCATACTGCAAAAGGTAAAAGCCACAGTATATGATGAGTGGTTAGTTACAATGGAAAAAGCATTAAATTTGTAGGTGGAAAACATGAACATCATCAATGTGTCCTGACGGATGACAAGTTTGGTACTTGCTGTGTTTCAGGCATTCACTGGGGGTCTTGGGGCCTACCCCCCATGGATAAGTGGGTACTACTATACTTTGCTTTCAATTCCTGCAACACCATAAAGCCTTCACCTCCACGTGAGCTGTTATCCTACCTGCAAGAATTCAGACTTTCGAATTGCTAACTGACCCCCAACTTCCTAGCCCTTCCCTGCTGTCCTCATTTTCACCATAGCAGTCCTTTGCCCTTCCCCTAGGTACCCCTGTGTATTCCTGGTTAACCTCTTTCTGACCACCGACCTCTGCCCACCCAAGCCCTTGAACAATATTTTTCTTGATCTTTTTACCTGCTCATGTTTCCTTATTTTGTCTGCTTATGTGGCCATTTGGCTTTTCTGTGGCATAGATGAAGAAGGTGATGACTGCAGGCGAATAAAGGAAGATGCCAGCTTTTGATTTGTTATGAGAAACATTGTACTTGAAAGAAAGAATTGTTTCATCGTTCAAATACTGGTACCAATACTGGTAGTTTCGCTCTGAGGAGCTTCTTCCGATGCACACTGGTGAGGTTTGGTTTGGTGGCAGAAGGAAAGAAATGTGTTATGAATATACCTTATTCTAGAAAATTTTTAGAGGATATTAATATATACATGGATTAATGGATGTTATCTAAAATGCTTTCCTTGAAGGACCAGGTCTCAGAGATCTTATGTAACTCTTTCTTCCTTTCTACTCTGCTGGCTGCAGATTCTCCTGTGAGAGGAAGTGGTCGGTGCTTTAGAGAACTGTTTTCCAGTTAGAAATTTCAAACTTTGTAGCCTTTTTTTTTTTTTTTTTTTTAAATCTTTGACTTCATTTCGCTCTGTTGCCCAGGCTGGAGCGCAGTGATGCGATCTCGGCTCACTGCAACCTCTGCCTCCTGGGTTCAAGTGATTCTCCTGCCTCAGCCTCCCGAGTAGTTATTACAGGTGTGTTTCACCACACCCAGCTAATTTTTGTATTTTCAGTAGAGATGGGTTTTTACCATGTTGGCCAGGCTGGTCTCGAACTCTTGACCTCAAGTGATCTGCCCGCCTCAGCCTCTCAGAGTGCTGGGATTACAGGCATGAGTCACCCATGCCTGGCCATAGGCTTTTAAAAAATAATTTCAGTCTTCAGAAATCCATGAAGATGGAAATAGAAATTGATAACAAAAGCAGAAATTGCTTTTGGACATTTTGAAGCTAACTCTGCTTGGGCAGCTTCTTGTAGCAAAAGTTGCATTTAGTGTGTTTTGTTCCTGGCTTTTTTTTTTTTTTTTGAGATGGAGTTTCACTCTTGTTGCCCATGCTAGAGTGCAGTGGTGTGATCTCGGCTCACTGCAGCCTCCACCTTCCAGGTTCAAGCGATTCTCCTGCCTCAGCCTCCCAAGTAGCTGAGATTACAAGCGCGTGCCACCACGCGCAGCTTAATTTTTGTATTTTTAGTATAGCTGGTGTTTCACCATGTTGGCCAGGATGGATTTGTCAGTCTCTTGACCTCGTGATCCACCTACCTCAGCCTCCCAAAATGCTGGGATTACAGGCATGAGCCACCACGCCTGGCCCCTGGCTCTTTTCTAGAAACAAGTGTCCCATTCTTGATCTGGGAGAACATTAAGTACAAAAATATACCTTTTAACTTTTGCCAGTTTAAAGCCATCAATGTCCTGGTGAAAGAAGATGTGGAATTCTTAGTATCAGCTGTTTAGTACCATTTGCAACAACTCTGAAATGCTTAGCCAGCCCTGAGTGAAGATGAAAATCTGCATTTAAATGTAATTTGTCTTACATGATGAGTGGAGATTTTTGTCATCAGAAATTGATTTGAAAAAATCAACAGATTAACATTTTTCTCCAAAGTGGAGGTGGCTGTTTGAGTGTAAAGGTAATGTGCTCCTCTAAGAGTCACAGTTAAGTATAAGGAAACAAAAACATCTGTAATCCCACCACATGGAACAACTTGCTAATATTTGTGTATATTCCTTTCTGCTTCATGTGTAACCATTTTTACATTTAAATCTTTACTCCTTTGGGAATCTCTTGGAAGAGGAGATGTAGAGATCTTAATTCTCACCAAAATTTTTCTGGCTCTTACCATTTAGTGAATTGTTCATCTTTTTGCCACTGAATTTTATAATGCCATATTTGTCAAAATTGTTCATTTCTGGTGTCTGTTTCATTGATCGGTTTAGTCCTATTCCAGCACCCCACTGTTAATACTGTATTTTTATAACATGCTTTTCAAGACTGTAAAGGCAAGTCTCTTGTCATTTGTGTTTTAGGGGAAGGGACATTTCTTGTGTATTTATTTATTTTTATGAATAAAAACGGGATTGTTTATATTAAATGCTCCCCAGCCTCCCCTTCCCACCTCAAAAACAACAACAACAACAACAACCCTGGACTTGTTTAAATAGGAGAGAATGCATGAATGCAAGTCTTTACATTAAGGCTCCCATAGACTGTTTATTCAAATTCTTTTTTTCTCTGTAAAATTATTTTTCTCATTTAGGTCCTGTACTCGTGCTAACCACTGTAATAGTGATTGTTGTATAAATGGGAAAAATCTTTCAGGAAAGTGAATTAGCAAAAATCATGAAAACTTCTTCATGTTTTGTTTGTTTTTTTTTTTAAAGACAATTTTGCTCTTGTTGCCCAGGCTGGAGTGCGGTGGTGTGATCTCAGCTCACTGAAACCTCCGCCTCCTGAGTTCAAGCGATTCTCCTGCTTCAGCCTTTTTGGTAGCTGGGATTAGTTGCCCACCACCACGACCAGCTAATTTTTTGTATTTTTGGTAGAGACAGAGTTTTCCCATGTTGGCCAGGCTGGTCTCGAACTCCTGGCCTCAGGTGATTCACCTTCCTTGGCCTCCCAAAGTGCTGGGATTATAGGCGTGAGCCACCGCGCCTGGCCAAAACTTTGCTCTGGACTCAGAAATCCCATCCCTAAACAGAATCTGTGAGTTACAGTTGACAAAATCCTTTCCTTGCATGAGAATTTGACTTTTGTTTAACTTTCTAGCTCTGTTTCCCTGGGAGCTAGATAAGGCAGAACATAACATTTGTTTCTGGGCATGGTCCTTGTGGTAAAATGTCCCCTGGTTGGTAAATTACATTTGGATGGGAAAGAGCCATGGATAAGTGATGGGCCACCCAGGCTTTTGTTTCATGGAACACAGTGACTCTGCTGGGCATGTCCTTATGGGGAGCCTAAGGAGCTGTCAAAAGAGATACTTGCACCCCCAGGATTGAGCATTCTGAGTCAAGGTATTGAGTCGGCACAGTCTCCCTGTGCCTGAGCCATCTTCTGTATGGACTCTTGCAAGAACTGCTGCTGCTGATGACCTGCCACTGCCCTGCCTGCCAGCTTTGTCTGTCCCAGTCTTTCTCAGTGGGCTTGTGCCACATGTGGCCTGTGATAATCTTACGAGTCAGAATCTAGAAAGATCTACCCACCCATCAACCCTCACACAGGTGTTGCTGTATCTCAAGGAAGTAATCCCATAGATTACAGCATTTTTTCCAAATTTTTGTTATATTAAATAAAGAGCGGGAATGGCTATTTAAATGCTTAATTCACTCAGAGGAATATTAGACATTAAGACGTAAGGTGGTCTCACGGTCACTGCTTTGTGACACGTGTGGGTAGAGACTCAAAGGGAAGGAAACAAACATGAATTCTATCATGTAGGAGTCTGGAGGTTGAAGTGTATTTCCTGTTTTTTTTCTTTTTAATATTATTAAACAGCATTGGTACACCAGTGAAACCTATTAACAAAGCAAGTTATGCAAATCCCTTTTCCCATTCTTAAAATCAGTCACTTTCATAAATATTCTCCAAATATCTTTGCATATCCTTTTATCATCTTTTTATCTATTTTCTTTTTTTTTCCTTTTTGAAAAAGAGTCTTGCTCTGTCGCCCAGGCTGGAGTGCAGTGGTGTGATCTCAGCTCACTGCAACCTCTGCCTCCTGGATTTAATCGATTCTCCTGCCTCCGCCTCCCGAGTAGCTGGGACTACAGGTGCGCACCACCACACCCAGCTATTTTTTTGTGTATTTAGTAGAGATGGAGTTTCACTATGTTGGCCAGGGTGGTCTTGAACTGCTGACCTCAAGTGATCCACCTGCCTCGGCCTCCCAAAGTGCTGGCATTACAGGTGTGAGCCACCACACCCAGCCTTTTTTTCCCTTCCCCACCACTCACTGCAACCTCTGCCTCCTGGGTTCAAGCGATTCTCCTGCCTCAGTCTCCCGAATAGCTGGAATTACAGGCACCCACCGAGCTAATTTTTATTTATTTATTTATTTATTTATTTATTTATTTATTTATTTATTCATTTGAGACAGTGCCTCGCACTGTCACCCAGGCTGGAGTGCAGTGGCGTGATCTCGGCTCACTGCAACCTCCGCCTCCCGGGTTCAAACGATTCTCCTGCCTCAGCCTCCTGAGTAGCTGGGATTACAGGCGCGTGCCACCATGCCCAGCTAATTTTGTTTTGTTTTTTGTTTTTTTGAGACGGAGTCTCGCTCTGTCGCCTAGGCTGGAGTGCAGTGGCGCAATCTCGGCTCACTGCAACCTCCACCTCCCGGGTTCAAGCCATTCTCCAGCCTCAGCCTCCTGAGTAGCTGGGACTACAGGCACATGCCACCACGCCCAGCTAATTTTTCATATTTAGTAGAGACGGGGTTTCACCGTGTTAGCCAGGCTGGTCTCGATCTCCTGATCTCATGATCCGCCCGCCTTGGCCTCCCAAAGTGCTAGGATTACAGGTATGAGCCACTGTGCCCAGCAATTTTTGTATTTTTAGTAGAGACAGGGTTTCATCATGTTAGCCAGGCTGGTCTTGAACTCCTGACCTTGTGATCCACCCACCTCGGGCCTCCCAAAGTGCCGTTATTACAAGCATGAGCCACCGTGCCCAGCCTTTTCTATTTTTAGTAGAGACGGGGTTTCACCATGTTGGCCAGGCTGGTCTCGAACTCCTGACCTCATGATTTGCCTACCTTGGCCTCCCCTTCTTTCTATTTGAAACTTGCCCCCATTATCATCATCTGATCTCTATCTTGAAATATGATACCAGACCTTAGAGTGTGACATTTAAACTTTGACCAGTCAAAGCGGTCCCTGGGGAGAAAGGTAGGGGAATAGTGGGGCTCCACATATAATGGATAGTTTGGGGTATACCTCTCAGTGCTGATTATGATGGAAGACAGAACTCCAAGTCATCTTATACTGCCCCTAACTAGCACTAGTAAGAACTTTCTAGATGAATGCTGGTGGGCTGAGATACCGTGTCTTCACAGTCCAGCCATGGGCATGAGGCTTTTGGCAGAGAAACAGCTTGACCCTCTGCATAGGTCATGGGACCTGGGGTGTGTGCCTAGCAAACCATCCTCTAGTCTGGCTCCTATTCCCATACTGTTCTTGTAGCCAGAAACAGACTCTGAAGCCATCGAGGATGGTTACTTTCAAGAGCGTAGGCCTTCTTAGCAAATCCTGCCCTTTAGGACAGTAGTCAGGTCTGATATTTCCTTTTAGTTAGTGGTCTTGGGTGTAATACCACCTCTTGAGAAAGAGAACAATTGACAGCCAAGCATCTGGAAAGAGAGGGATAGCTGGATTACCTTGCCTAGGAGCTGTAACCTGCTGCTTCTCTCACTGTCTTCTGGACTCTGTGTTCTGTTACTCATCTCTGTATTTGGCATACCTTAAGATGGTAGCGGCCAGTATTTACTAGTCATCTGCTGTATTCTAGTTACTGTCCTGAGCATTTTATTTATTCAGTCTTCACAGCATTCTTAGGACATAAGAGCTGTCATCTCTATATTCCCTATTCCAACAGAGAAATTAAATGACTGGCTCAAGGTCATATAGCTAAATTAATAAGCGGCAAAACCAGAATAGAAATCCCTGTGGCCTGGGTTCATATCTGCTGCTTAAGTCACTCCCACTATAGGCACTGCTGTCAGCCTTGCCTTCAAAAGGTAGGTGGTTAAAGAGGAAACTAACAAGTAGTTCTTCTGAGTCCCATTCATTTTCTGGAAGTCACTGAGTCATACCCTGGCAAATGAGAGGCAATTACAGCAGGAGCCCTGTCTTGATGAGTAGATAGACCATGCTGTGGCAAGTCCTGGAAGACAGTTGAGCAGAGATCAGGCATTTTTCACATCTTCTGGTTATGAGTAGACAAGGCTGCCTGAAAGATTTTCTGGAAAAGAGTAGTCACTAGAGCTGCAGAGTCAAGTATTCAGACGGTACCCAACATTTAATAAATTTCTACTTGGCATTGAGTATACAGTGGGGAGTAAAACTGTCTTCATGGAGATTGTTAGAAAAGGGATAGACTAGATTAATATAGTACATAAAAATGTCAATTAGTGGTAAGTGCTCTGAAGGAAAAGCAAGCAGAGTAACGGGATAGAGAGCAAATGAGGGGTTATGCTGCTTTAAATAAAGCGGTCACTTCTTTGAGAAAGTGATACTGAAGCAGCGACCTGAATGAAGCAAGGACCAAGCTGTTGAGTAAGTTGGAGCATTAGTTCAAATTGCCAATCCATTCAATTGATCCACCACCCAAGTGAGAGAATACATTCTCTCCAACAGCTTGCAGGGGCAGGATGGCCCTGCTGTGCTGTTCTGCCTCGCTCTTGGGTCCAGAGTTTTGGTGAGTGATACTGTTTTTTATCAGTGCCCCCTGGTGGAAGGAAGATACCTAGCAGGAAGGTTCAGGGCCCTGCACTGTTGGGGCTGCTCAGACATTTGTGCAAGGGAGGTGTTTTGTTTTGGTGTTTCCATCACACTCACAGTGATTTCTCCTTTTCCCCCTTTAGTTTGAAGGATGACCTCTAGGAAGAAAGTGTTGCTGAAGGTTATCATCCTGGGAGATTCTGGGTAAGTTACTCATGAATTTGAGCTAACAGATTGGCTTAGAGCTAAGCCTCTCTGCTGTGGAGCCCACACTGTCCGTGCTGCCACTTCTTGCTTTCATAGTGAGGCTTAGGGCCTTACATGTTTCCCTCCACGGCAGAAATTTAGATGATCCCTTGTTATATAACCTTTTGTTCTCTAGTTTTTAGCATGATTTTTTATGGGGAACGGATGGCTATTTGAACTCAACTAAGGATAGGCATTTTCATGGAATCCCTTTTCTCCAAGCTGGCCAGGCTGGGGAGTCTTCCTTACGTAGATGTATTGCCATTGGCATCTGGCGTAGCAGATGTGCTTTTTTTTTTTTTTTTTGGAGACAGAGTCTCGCTCTGTCGCCCAGGCTGGAGTGCAGTGGCGCGATCTCGGCTCACTGCAAGCTCCGCCTCCCGGATTCACGCCATTCTCCTGCCTCAGCCTCCCGAGGAGCTGGGACTACAGGCGCCCGCCACCACGCCCGGCTAGTTTTTTGTATTTTTGGTAGAGATGGGGTTTCACCGTGTTAGCCAGGATGGTCTTGATCTCCTGACCTCGTGATCCGCCTGCCTCGGCCTCCCAAAGTGCTGGGATTACAGGCGTGAGCCACCGCGCCCGACCCAGATGTGCGTTCTTAGTGCACCATACAGTATCCTCCTGCTGCTGTGCCTGCTTCAGATCTATCTGCAAAAGAGCCTGGGACGGCAGAACTGGGTTCTGATTCTAGATGTGCCACTAACCATGTAGCTAACTCTAATGGCTCTTAAGATTCTGTGGTAGGTTGGGTGAGGTGGCTTATGCCCATAATCCCAGTGCTTTGGAGGCTGAGGGGAGGATTGCTTGAGCCCAGGAGTTGGAGACCTGTCTCTACAAAAAAAATTTAGCCAGGTGCCGTACCTGTAGTTCCAGCTGCTGGGGAGGCCGAGGCGAGAGGATGGCTTGAGCCCAGGAGTTTGAGGCTGTAGCAAGCTATGATCATGCCGTTGCACTGCAGCCCGAGTGACAGAGCAAGACCCCAACTCTTAAAATAAAAAGATTCTGTGGTAGGCTTTTCAGACTTGGCATCTGAAGGGACCCATGAAAGCTTTGACTCATTGGAAGCTTATGTATTTTTAAAAATAACAACAATAGCAAATGCAGGTATGCTTCTTTATTCCAAAGTCCCCTGCCCTTCCTTTGAAAAGCCAGAGGTTTTTCTGTCTTGACTGGCTTATTTGAATCACCTGCAGAACCTTTTTTTGTATGTGTGTGAGAGACAGGGTCTCGCTCTGTTGCCCAGACTAAAGTGAATGGTGCAATCACAGCTCACTGCAGCCTCAACCTCCTGGTCTTAAGCCATCCTCCCACCTCAGCCTCCAGAGTAGCTGGGACCACCAGTGTGTGCTACCACTCCTGGTTAAATTTTTGTATTTTTTATAGAGACAGGGTTCTACCATGTTGCCCAGGCTGGTCTCAAACTCCTGGGCTCAAGCAGTCCACTCGTCTCGACCTCCCAAAGTGCTGAGATTACAGGCTTGAGCCACCATGCCCAGCCTTTGAAGAACCTTTTGTTCGCTAGCATTTGCCCAGCCCCAGACCAGTGGGCTAGGGCCTAGATTTGTGCTCTCTCTCCTACCCCGCAACTCCATCCCCGTCGGGATGGAAAGATAGTGCTTTTAGGCCTGCCTTCCCCAAACTTGTGCAAAAAGTCTCACCAAGCCCTTGTTCGATTCCAGGTTTTGCCACCTCTCACCTTGTAGATTCTGGCTTAGATGGTCTGGGTTGGAAAACACTGCCTTCGGCTGTCTAGGTACCTCCAGGTTCTTTAACACAAATATGAACATGTTCCTTTGTGGCCAAGAAAGGTGATATCACTGGCTATGGGGGGGAAGGTTTTTGTATTAGCTTTAGGTTACCTTAACCTTATCACACAAAAATCACACATTGTCTCTTGCTGAGTTTTCTTACTAGAAAACATATTTGGAGGAGCATTCTTTGAGGTGGATTTGTTTTGGTGATATATTGGTGCTTTTTCTGCTTCAGATTTTAAACTTTAAAGCAGCAAATTGTCTGAGTGGTGTGTGTCTGCTGAAAGCCAAGGTCTTCCTCCTGGTGTTACTTCATCAAGCTAAATAGCAGCCACTAAATGGAGAAACATCTAAGATAGCAGGGATACTGTTGGAATAGCAGAACAGTCTTAATAGTGAAGCTTCTTTTAGAAAGCAGTATATTTGCTGGCATCCTTCTAGAATGGAAAAAATAATACTAGGCTCTACCATTTGACCTGGCTGTGCCAAAACATGTAAGCAGCTTTTCCACATCTGCCCCACATCTGTACCCTATATTTTTACCCAGAGAGAAAACACAAAACTTCAAAAGTGTAATGCTCGGAAGGCTACTGGCATTGCCCTTTGCTGTGAGGGCAGTTTCTTGTCCTTCAGGTCAGGCAGATTCTTTTAAATGCTTCAAGTAATTCGTGTCAGTTTCAGGACCCTCCTATTTGACTTATACTTATGGTTTTTCTCCAATTTCAGAGTCGGGAAGACATCACTCATGAACCAGTATGTGAATAAGAAATTCAGCAATCAGTACAAAGCCACAATAGGAGCTGACTTTCTGACCAAGGAGGTGATGGTGGATGACAGGCTAGTCACAATGCAGGTAAGCACATGTCTTGGCTGTGCTGACCAGGCCTTGATAGTTCATTTAGTCTTAATCTTTCCTCATGCATAGACATTTTCCTTCCCTGTTCTTCAAATCTTATTATCTTATTTGTAGATAATTGGCTGATACTCAGTTAAATTTGAATTTCAGATCAATAGTGAATACTTTTTTAGTATACTTCTAGTGTATCTCAGATACGACTTGCTAAGACACACTAAAAAATTCTTCTTAAAAAAAAACTCAGATTTATCCTTTCTTGTTTTTTGTTGTTTTTGGTTTTGTTGTTTGCTAAATTTGGCAACCTGCAGGTCTCTGTCTTGTGCCTCTCTTGACATCCTTGCCCAGTGCTTTAGGTAAACATCTTTGTCTCACCTCAGTAGTGAGACATAAACTTTATTTTTCTGACTTCCTATTTCATACGTAACTTCAAGAGTTGTGTGTCTATTGAGCCAATCTTTTTTTTATGTATCAGCTTATTAATCTTTCAAGGGTTCCCTTTCAACAGTTAGGATAAGATACAGATTCTTTCATATGACTTGTTGAAAAGCCTTCACATTCTGGCTATAAACTATTATTCCCTTTTTTTCCCCCATTGAGTCATTTTGTTTGTATACATGTATTAACATCCCTAGAAAAGAAACCCCTGAAGGATGGATACCTTGAGCCCAGGAGTTTGAGCCTGCAGTGAGCTGTGACTGCTCCATTATACTCCAGCCTGGGTGATGGAGTGAGACCCTGTCTCTAAATTTAAAAAAAAAAAAAAAAAAAAAAAAGAATCCCAGGATTTTCCCTCCTGTATTTTCATCTCTTTCTTCATGGTCCATGATGCCAGCTGAGGTTGTCAGTACAACCTCACTTTGAAACCAAACTATTGGGATAGGAGTAGATTATCCTGTCATTTTTCTAGATCTTTGAGTTGCACATCACATCTGGGGCCAATCATTCCAGGGGCAGTTTTAACCTGCCTGTGAGGTTTACAGTAATTTTCCCAGCTCTGTGATGACCAGTGATTTCAAATTTTCAATGTGATCATGTTTCATCTTCACACTTAGAACCAGACCATGACTTGGGAGCACAGCCTAATAAGAACCTGGTGTTTGCCCTTGAGAGCATCAGCCAAGACGTTCATGCATTACGGAGGCAAGAAAAGATGGTGGAAATAGCTGTTACTCACTTTTTTTTTTTTTGTCTCGTTCCAGTCATTCCGAATCATGTGCTGCTCTTACAGACTTGTGTTGGTGGATATGTCTCTGCTTCCAGCAGGGCCTGTATACCCACCTGAAGTCTCCAACTTTTAGCTCAGATCTTTGGAAACTTCTATCTCCATGGCAGTTGTTCTTTCCTATGTGCTTCTAGAGGCAAATACAATTCTAATCCCATTATAGTCCTAGAAAGTACCTGGCAAATAGTGGGGGCTTGCTGAAATGTGTGAATGATGTAGGTTAAAGGTAGAAATTTGTGCACGTGTTGACCTCGAGCCATGGCATGCTCCTAGAGGATCAGGACTCTTAATTGACTCACACTTCTAGGACAGAGCTGGTATGAATCTCTCATCCTCACCTCACCTACACACATACACCTAGAGATCTTCAAAATGTAACTACAGTTTAAGCAAGTCAAGCTTGAGAGTAGAACTGGAAAACCTTGGCCCAAGAAATTGGCAAAGCTTGTGTCTGCAGTTGTTGGAGATTCTCAGTCCCACTCTCCACATGTACAGAAATCTTTGTCTCAAAGGATTTAACATAAATCCCTGTCATTCCTGGCAAAAACAAGGGTAAGACCACTCTGTAGGGACATTTAGTACCGCAGGAGAGAAGATGAGTTCATAACCACATGAGGAAATAATGTACCACAAGAGATGTTCACAATGACTAGAGATGTTCTAAAAAGAAATAGAAACCATAATGGAAAGGGATACTATAAAAAAATGAGGATATGGAAAACTTAGAACTTCAAGAAGTGAAAACATAGTATTGAAATAAGCTAAAGGAACAGTTAAACTGTAGATTAAATGGAGCTGAAAAAAGCAGTAAGCCGTAAGAGCTGAGCAAATTTTCTAAAAGAAGACTTAAAATTGTAGAAGACCGAAAAGCAAAATCTTAAGAGCAACTATAGAAAAAAAAGACATGACTTATAAAGGAACAACAGACTGACAAATTCTCAACAGAAGGCAGAAGGGAGTAGAATTACTTCAGGGAGCTGGGGTAAAGGCCCATCTGAAGATTCTCCATGTGTCACAGCAAGACTCAGACTGCCTTTTGCTGAGGGAAAATAGAACTTCTCCAGCTGAGCTGTGGTTTTGGTAGCCATGTGGGCCAGCGAATTCAGAAATCAGAGTTCGGCCCCTGCTGGGTCGGGGGTTGTCATAACAGTCCCGTCTGTACTACTAAGCTGGGACCTTGGGGCGCTGCACTCTTGAAGTAAACCCCATCAGGAGATCCACAGCGCACTGTGGGCTTCTCAAGAAGCCCAAATTCCAGGAAGGATAAATAAAAAGAATTCTGTGTAAGTCATAATGAAACTAAAAAAGAAAAAGGCTTAAAAATAGACTGAGGAAAACCTGACAAGCACAGCACTGAGGCTGTCAGGTGACTCTTGGCAGTAGCAGCAGAGCCCAGCAGGCAGTGGGGTATGTTGGGAAAGAGACGGGCAGCACAGTGTTCTGTCTCTGCTGAAATAACCCTCCTGAATGAAAGAGTACATCTTTAAGGGCTAGTGGCAGAAGTTCTAAAGGATAACTCCAGGCAGAAAGTGATTTCATGTAGATGAGGAAAGAGTGGAAAAAGATAACAAGTTCCCAAGAGATTGAAGCAAAAGGATGACCCTTGTGCTCTTGCAGCCAGCTTCAGATACTAGAAGTAAATGAAAATCATTGTCTCTGCACAAAGGCGTCATTATCCTGATCTTGAGGAATCCTCATGTGTTTTTCGAGGGCTTTTAGCAGCTTGCAGTAAAACATAATCAAAATAAAACAAGGCACCACAAGAAAGAACCAGTGGAAACTTCCCTGGTAATTCCAGAGTGTTTTTTGTATTTAAAGAAATAAGGAGGATACAGAGTTTCAGTTATATGAGATGAATAAATCCTAGAGATGTGTACAGCATAGTGCCTGTAGTTAACAATACTGTATTGTACACTTAAAAATTTGCATGCTGGATGCGGTGGCTCATGCCTGTAATCCTAGTGCTTTGGGAGGCCAAGAGAGGAGTTTGAGACTAGCCTGGGCAAAATAGCACATTTCATCTCTACAAAAAAATTTTTTGAAAGAATTTACTAAGAGGATCTTATTTTAAGTGTTCTTATCACAAAAAGTAATAATAAGAGGATGGGGGGAACCTTTTGATGAGTAGGTTTGTGGCCTACATTGTAGTGATGGTTTGTGTGCAGCCTTTGTATGTCAGCCATACCTCACTAAAGGGGCTTTGGTTAAAGATAAGATAATCGTTTATCTGCAGGGAAGAAACGAAACAGTTAACATTGATAGGGGGAGAAAATGAAGCACAATCAATGAAATTTGGAAATTCAGAGAATGCTGCTAAATCATAGCAGATTGGCCACACCAGAAAAGGGCTGGAAGAATGAAAGAAAAATGGCAGGAAATATGAAAGAAATAAGTGAAAGTGAGAAGGTTGGACCTACTTTTAATCAGTCTCAGAAGGTGTAAAGAGAGAATAATAGATCAAAGATGATATTTGCTGAGAATTTTCGAGAATTGGTGTGGCACCAATCCACTGACTCAAGAAGCCCAAATTCCAGGAAGGATAAATAAAAAGAATTCTGTGTAAGTCATAATGAAATTAAAAAAAAAAGACTTAAAAATAGACTGAGGAAAACCTGACAAGCACAGCACTGAGGCTGCCAGGTGACTCTTGGCAGTAGCAGCAGAGCCCAGCAGGCAGTGGGGTATGTTGAGAAAGAGATGGGCAGCACAGTGTTCTGTCTCTGCTGAAATAACCCTCCTGAATGAAAGAGTACATCTTTAAGGGCTAGTGGCAGAAGTTCTAAAGGATAACTCCAGGCAGAAAGTGATTTCATGAAGATAGGTCTGAAGGAAGAACACTTCAATAGTATACTTGTATCTATTTTTGGAATCGTGAGTATGTAACTTCCAAAGTAATATGAGGAAACAAAGATCAGAACTGTGTAATCTAATGTGTAGGGAAAGATTAGTGACTGCTGTGTTTCTTGTTTTTTAAAGTTCTCTATACTGTTCAGAAAGAATCTGAAATTGATTAGTATCTTAGATGGAATCAAATAGGCATGACAAATTTCCAGGGAACAGTTTATTGTGAGTTTGTGGTAGTTTAAACAGTGATATTAGTATAGTAATACACAGAGCACAGGAACAGAGGGCACAGGGTGCACCTCTCTGGTAATACATGGAGAGAAGGGTGTTGTAGGGTACATATTTTATTTTATTTTATTTATGTATGTATGTATTTATTTATTTATTTTTGAGATGGAGTCTCACTCTGTCGCCCAGGCTGGAGTGCAGTGGCGTGATCTTGGCTCACTGCAACCTCCGCCTCCTGGGTTCAAGCAATTCTGCCTCAGCCTCCCGAGTAGCTGGGACTACAGGTGTGTGCCACCACGCCCAGCTAATTTTTTGTATTCTTAGTAGAGATGGGGTTTCACCATGTTAGCCAGGATGGTCTTGATCTCTTGACCTCATGATCTGGCCGCCTCAGCCTCCCACGGCGCTGGGATTACAGGCGTGAGCTACCACACCCAGCCTATTTTTTATTTTTTTTGAGACAGGAGTCTCACTGTCGCCCAGGCTGGAGTGCAGTGGCCTGATCTCAGCTCACTGCAACCTCTGCCTCCCCGATTCAGGCAATTCTCCTGCCTCGGCCTCCCAAGTAGCTGGGATTACAGGCGCCTGCCACCACGCTTGGCTAATTTTTTGTATTTATTTTTAGTAGAAACGGGGTTTCACCATGTTGGCCAGGCTGGTCTCGAACTGCCGACCTCAGGTGATCCACCTACCTTGGCCTCCCAAAGTCCTGGGATTACAGGCATGAGCCACTGCGCTCAGCCAGTAGGGTAAATAAGTGGGACCAGGACAGGGCTTTACATTCTAGCTTGGGGGAACCAGAGGATTCAAGACCTGAAGGTGGAAAAAATACAAAGTGAAAACTTAAAAAATGAAAATAGTGAATACTTTTCACCTTTGGCATTTGAAAATACAGAAAGTACAAATCATAAAATGTTGAAGATTGATTAATAGATTACATTAAACATGTAAATAACAAGATTCCCAGACTAACAAGAACAAACCACACAAGCAGGTGACAAAGATGATAATGCCTAATAGTATCCAAGCAGTAGGTAACCTGGTGGATGCTAGAATATAGGGAGTGGAACAGCCTCTGGTTGATGGTAGGAGTGTAGTAATGAGTACAACCTTTTCAGTAGAAACTGCCACTCTGCTCCCCAGTGTTGAACATAGACATATGCAGCAATCCAGAGTTCTGAGTCTGAGTGTATGGCCTAGAGAAACTTATCTCTGGACATTATGAGAGAGTTGTAATGAGAGTTATCATTGCAGCCTTGCATGGGGAGTGAAAAACTGCAAATAACTCAAATGATCTGGGGAACTAAGTGAGTCTATTAAAGCAGTGGAATATTATATAACTGTTAACTTTTGGGAATGAAAAAAGACAAGTTGCAAAAAGCTGTACAGGATGATAATGTTTATGTAAGGCATCTCTTCAGGAGCATTTACTTGTGGTGAAGAAGGAAGAAAATGCAATGAGGGAAGGGTTAACTCTTGGAAAAAACGGATAAAAATAACAGTGTTAATTTTTGTCACATCAGAATATTGGGTAGACAGTTATAAGGGTATAATTTTAAATGGAGAAAACAAAACATTTTGAAACAAGCAGGCTGGCTGGTTTCCTGTTTTGATGTGGTCTAGAGAAAAAGAATAAAAGCCCCTTACTCAAGCTGTAGCTTACCTAACTTCCAAACAATCAGCAACAAAAAACCCCGAGAAACTGTTATCACAAGTTCCTGCTTCATGGGGCTAGGGACCTCCCTGGGCCCCCCCCCGCCCCCAGCATGTGCAGTTAGACTTCAACTTCAACTTATAGTTACCTTTTCCTCATTTTAATGCCAAAAGTCACACCCAGGATGGAGATTTAACCTGCTAGTGCTACACGCAATTTCTGAAGAAGCATGTTTAGCCACTGTGCATGCACTAGAAAAACCCCTCCTATATACATATCCTGACATCACCCCTCCCCACAGGAAAGCCCTTTAAAGTTAACTCCCACACTGCTTTCAGAGAACAGCTGCCCCTTTCCTTTTGCAGTGCTAGCTCACTATGCATAAGCTAATACACTTTCACTTTCTCTTTGCTATTGTGTCTGGTGATCTCTCTTGATTTCTATCATGGAAGATTCCAAGAACCCAGGTCGCTGTTAACAATTTCAATTAAAATATTAAAAAATTTAAAAATCACAGTCAGCCATAGGACTGTACTTGTTGATGTTTTGATAAATATGGCCTTTACTTTTGTAAATTCAAAGTTAAATTAATTTTGGTAACTTTCTAGGAACCCGTCAACTTGTTGACTTCTTTTTGATGTATTACTTTGCCTTCTCTGTGTATCTGAGTTCCAGATGATGAATTGGTTCCACCTAACAGTAACAGAGTTCTTATGTAATTTTGCTTGTAGGAGTCTATCTGAAAAAAGCCATTTGACATACAGAGAAAGCTCTCTATGCTAATGTTCATTGCTGAGTTGTTTATAATGATAGGAAATTGTCAGCAATATTTTCTTAAAAATAGGAATCGATGGTTCACTAAATCTGTTGGGCAGCAGTAAAGTCCAGTGAACCTGCTCTCCCATGTCACCCCATCTGCTGTTGCCAGAGTGCCCTAGTGCGTGACGGGGTAGAGGGGAGGAACTTGGGAGAATGTGGAGAGTATCACATGTGCAGTCTAGGAGTGCAGTCTAGGATTTCAGCTACAGAAAACCTCCGCGCATATGACTAGAACAAGACATGAACTCCTTCCTGTGTGGGAGGATGCCAAGTGTTCTTTTGTTTGTTTGTTTGTTTGTTTGTTTGAGAATGGGGTCACTTCTCCACTGACAGAGATGCATACATATTCCATGTAGAACATTGGAGAACCAGGAGAGCACAGGGATGAGTACCACCAGCAGTCCCGATCCTGTTTAGTCTACATGTGTGGACTTTGTTTATTGTATCTGGGCAAGGGAGCATTTAGTGCCCTAGCCTGCCGAGAGGCAGTGGAGTCATTAGAAATAAATTTGTCTTTTTTGCCCTTCATCCTTATATCTGAGTTGTTATCATGTTCGTCCGGCTCTGTTTGAGTGCCTGTTACGGATCTAGGGCAGTAAGTATACCCAGCCTTGCTCTTAAATCTAGCATGGCAGTGAATGAGGTGACCAGCTTAGAGCTGGGCGGTAGTACCTGGTTTAATCTTTACTCTGGTGTGTGTTCTCATTGTCTTTCTCTTGATCTCTTTTTGTCAAGAGTTTTTCATTTGTTTTGTTTTTTGAGGTATAATACAAATGAAATATAACATGCTAATCTTTTTTGTTGTTTAGGCAAACTTTTCTCTTTTTTTTGAGACAGAGTTTCGCTCTTATCACCCAGGCTGGAGGGCAATGGCACGATCTTGGCTCACCGCAACCTGCGCCTCCCAGGTTCAAGCAATTCTCCTGCCTCAGCCTCCCAAGTAGCTAGGATTACAGGCATGCACCACCATGCCTGGCTAATTTTGTATTTATAGTAGAGACAGGGTTTCTCCATGTTGGTCAGGCTGGTCTCAAACTCCTGACCTCCGGTGATCCACTGTGCCTGGCTAGGCAAACTTTTCATACAGTAAAATGCATAGATTGAACTATATCACTCGTGAGTCATCACCTCACTTCCCTATTGAACTGTATCATTCGTGAGTCATCACCTCACTTCCCTATATTTCCATTGCTCTCAGAAAGTTCCCAGAGTACCTAAGTTTTATTTATAGTTCAAATTTTACACACTTACCTACATGTGACCACTACTTGGATCAAGATATAAGAAATTTCTAGCACCCTGGAGATTGGACTCAATGTCACTCGCTTATAGACAGACACATACTTAATCACAATATTTGTGAGGATTGTTTCAGATACTCTGGTGCTGAAATTTGCTTCCTGAAGTCTGGTGTCATTTGTCTTTGTGGGTGGCCCCACAATCTAGCCTATTTCTTCTGGCACCCCTTGCATACATGCTCCTGGTGCTCTGCCTAGCATTCTCCCAAGGAATGAATGTTTTGTCTCTCACAGATATGGGACACAGCAGGACAGGAACGGTTCCAGTCTCTCGGTGTGGCCTTCTACAGAGGTGCAGACTGCTGCGTTCTGGTATTTGATGTGACTGCCCCCAACACATTCAAAACCCTAGATAGCTGGAGAGATGAGTTTCTCATCCAGGCCAGTCCCCGAGATCCTGAAAACTTCCCATTTGTTGTGTTGGGAAACAAGATTGACCTCGAAAACAGACAAGTAAGTACCAACGATGATAGATATTGTCACAGACACCTGCTCCCCAGGGGCCTTGTGAATTTGGAGGGTTCTCTGCTAAGCTCACATGGCTCTAGGAGGTGCTGGTGGGAGTCTTCATTACCATATGCCAGCCCTTCAGGCCAACTGCCTTTAAGGACCGGGACCCAGGTGACCTGGGTTAAGTCCCCATCCTGCCCCCAGCTGGCTGTGACTTTGGGCCATTGTCTTGGCTGTCTCAGCTTCACTTCCCTTTCTGCACTTTGAAGGAGGGAATTCGGTTTTGTCATTCTCAGTAGTGCCCTCCCAGTACCTCCAGGCCATGCCTGGATCTCCATGTGTGCAGAATATTGCTTTGGGCTTTGAGTAAAATTGCTGTACTGTAGTTTCAAATACCATTTCTGTTGGAAACATAGACTCTTTGATTAATTACAACTAGGTTTATTTCTGACCACAGATCTTTTCTTAAGTGACTTAGTCCTTATCTCTTGGCTGAAAATGGGCTAGGGGTTGGGGAAGGAATGAGAATGTGTGAGTGGCATAGGTGACATCACACTAGCAGTAATGGTGAAGGGACTATAAACCTTAAGACCAAGCTGCTGGGCATTTCCTGTCCTGGGATCTCTGAGGTCCCAGTAAACACTCTTCATTTCTTCCCGGACTGGCTTCTTACTCCATTCACAAATGGCTTTTAAGTATAACTGAGGGTCAGAAGGTATGAGCTGTAGACCGAGACAGGCTTTGAGCTCTCTAGCTGAATCCTAGCTATCCTGAGCATAGCTAGCAGGACAAGTTTGGACGGGTCTGCAGGTCTCCTCCAACACCCTCTTTCCCCATGTCTGTGTCCTCACCTGTACTACCTGTAGACGAGGGGCCATGACACTTCCTGGGGAGGATGGAGTCAGTGCTGGCTGCTTCTGTCATGAGCCTATGTGCACCCTGCTTCTTCTTTCAGGTGGCCACAAAGCGGGCACAGGCCTGGTGCTACAGCAAAAACAACATTCCCTACTTTGAGACCAGTGCCAAGGAGGCCATCAACGTGGAGCAGGCGTTCCAGACGATTGCACGGAATGCACTTAAGCAGGTGGGTCTCCCACAGCTGACCAGCCCACTCTGGTGATGCCTGACCACTGACCCAGTCCCTGCCTGGCCTCCTGCCCTTAATCTTCTTCCCTAACCCACTCTTTTCTGTATAGCCAGAATACCCTATGTGTTCATCTGGGAAGGTTATGACATGTTCTGCTTAAGCTTCCAGAAATCCCACTTTGGGGGGAATAATATAAAAGATGCAGAGGCTGTGAAGTCTGAGGCTGCCCTTCTTTTACTAGGCTTGTTCTTATTTTCTTTGCTGTGATTAGGAGATCAGGTCACTGGGAGACCCCGAACAGATTGCTGCTTCTATTTAAGGAGGAAATAAACTTGAATATGAATCCCAGCTCTGCTGCGTACCAATCGTTATATCTAGTTTGGGCTTAAAAAAAAATTATGGCCGGGCACTGTGGCTCATGCCTGTAATCCTAGCACTTTGGGAGGCCAAGGCGGGCTGATCACTTGAGGTCAGGAGTTCGAGACCAGCCTGGCCAACATGGTGAAACCCCCTCTCCACTAAAAAATACAAAAAAATTAGCCAGACCTGGTGGTGGTCGCCAGTAATCCCAGCTACTCGGGAGGCTGAGGCAGGAGAATTGCTTGAACCCAGGCGGCAGAGGTTGCAGTGAGCCAAGATCGTGCCACTGTACTCCATCCTGGGTGACAGAGTGGGACTCTGTCTAAAAAAAATTAAAAATTAAAATAAAAAAAATTATATCTGAACTTCTACCCCCTCACCTGAAAAATGGGAATACCTGCTTTTGCAGGGTGATTATGAAGATTAAATGAGACAGACTCTTCCAGCTCTCACATACTGACTGGTAACTTTTTTCCTTAGGAACAGTTAAGTAAACAACACAAAGAAGGAAGAAGATGTAGGAAAACTATTCAAGGAATATAATACCTAGAATTTCTTATTTACTGTTTCTGTGATTAGATACAACCACTCATGCGAGTTGAAAGTCTGTTTTGATGTACAGCTCTGTTAGGGGCAGTGGTGATTAAGGCAGGTCACGAGGCCTCATCAGACAGTGTCTGGGGGTGGTCAGAGGTGTGGCAGGTTTGGGAGGATGCATAGAACACTTGAAGCACATGGTGGCTGTGAAGGGCAAGGCAGATTCTGCTGACTCCAGGAAGCCGGCTGAATGAAGGTAATGGCTTTCAGCAGGACAAAGAGTTGTTTGTAATGGTTGCTCCAAGGACCAGGGAAATTCTGGCATGGGTGGGGTCTGCACTAAGTGTTCCAGAATGAAAGGGACAGATCTACTCAATGAGGAAATTGTTCCACCCAGAATGCCAGGAGAGCCCTCAAGTGGTAAGGAGCAGACCAAGATGCAGACTTGGCCACGCTTACCCCCAAATAATAATGTTTGTGTTTTTCTTAATGTTCATATAAGGGAATGGAAATCCAAATATGTGTAGGAAAGTGTTTCCCACCTGTTCCCTGTTGCCTGGCATCACTGTCTGAGTTTTTCTCTTCCATCACTACTGTCCCTGTTGTCTTTATGCTTTTATTTTTAGAGCTAGCCCTTAAGAAGTTAGATTGTTAAATCGGAGGGTGTATCTTATTGTAAGTCAGGGTGCCAGGTTGCTTTCCCCAAGGGGAATAACATTTCAGCAATGTGGGCTTGCTTTCTTCTACCTCCTTGCCAGCAAGCAATAGGTGTCACCTGTCACTGCTGACATTGCCGATCTTTGGGTGTGTAAATTGCCACCATCGTGACTACTGGTCCCTCTGAGTTCCCCTCCCTGGGGCTTAGCCATTTGGATTTTCTCTGCTGCACACAGCCGGCACACAGCACATGGTTGGGCCTCTCTCAGTTCTCATGAGCTGTTGGTGAATTGAAGTTAACTCTACTTGCATCTTAAGTGACTTTTCCAACTCTGTGGTCTTTTTAAGTCCTTTGAACATAGGGAAAAAGTAATTTTTTATTTGGTTATGTCATTTTAAGTTTCTATGTTTCCTGTGTCTACCTCAGATTTTTCTGTAATTCAGCTGGAATTTGTTTTGGCTTATGGCAGAAAAGAGAGACTTGCCTTTCCTCTCAAGAGAGCTCAGCCAGTTGTTTGAAATCATTCAGCTATGTTACACAAGCCGTTTCCCTCCCTGAATAGACCGTGGCCTGTGCTAAATGCTCGTATGTGCTGGGATCTGTTTCTGGTCTCTCCAGTCTGTTCTGGTGATGTCCATGCCATGTTCCCTTATCTGGACTGTGTTGATTTGACTGCCTGATGAGGCAAGTTTCCTCTTGCCACAGTCTTTTTTTTTTTTTTTTTTTTTTTTTTTTTTGAGACGGAGTCTTGCTCTGTTCCCCAGGCTGGAATGCAATGGCGTGATCTCGGCTCACTGCAACCTCCGCCTCCCAGGTTCAAGCGGTTCTCCTGCCTCAGCCTCCTGAGTAGCTGGGATTACAGGCATCCGCCACCATGCCCAGCTAATTTTGGTAATTTTTTAGTAAAGATAGGGTTTCACCATGTTGGCCAGGCTGGTCTGGAACTCACATTGTGAACCGCCCGCCTCAGCCTCCCAAAGTGCTGGGGTTACAGGCATGAGCCACCGCACCCGGCCTGCCACATTTCTTTTTTAATAATTTTGTTTCCACCATTTTCCTCTCTTACCTTCCACACCCCAAATAAAACTCTGTTGAGATTTTGATTGGAATTTTTTTCTTCAAGCCCACTGTTTTTTCCTCATTGATTGCAGTTTTGTTGTGGCTGTTGCATTAGTCTGCTCAGGCTGCGTTAACAAAACCCCACAGCCTGGGAGGGTCCAACAACAGACATTTTGTTTTCTCACAGTTCTGGAGGCTGGAAGTCCATGAGCAAGGTGCTGGCACATGTTTCTGGTGAGGGTGCTTTTCTGGGCTATCTTCTCACTGTGTCCCTCCCATGCCCTTTCTGCTGTGTGCACAGAGAGAGGACACATGAGCAAGGTGTCTCTGGTGTCACCTCTTCTTATAAGGACACGAATTCTCAGATCAGGTCCCCATCCTGCAACCTCATTTAACCTTCATTCCTTCCTTACTCCAAATACAGCCACCTGAAGGGTTAGTGCTTCAACACAGGAATTTTGGAGGAACACAAACATTCTGCCCAGCCGAGTGCGGTGGCTCATGCCTGTAATCCCAGCACTTCGGGAGGCTGAGGCGGGTGGATCACCTTAGGTCAGGAGTTCAAGACCAGCCTGGCCAACATTGTGAAACCCCATCTCTACTAAAAATACAAAAAATTAGCTGGCGTGGTGGTGGGCACCTGTAATCCCAGCTACTTAGGATGCTGAGGCAGGAGAATTGCTTGAACCTGGGAGGTGGAGGTTGCAGTGAGCCGAGATTGCACCATTGCACTCCAGCCTGGGCAACAAGAGCGAAACTCCATCTCAAAAAAAAAAACAAAACATTCCACCCATGATACTATTTTAGGTCTTGTTTCTGTTCCTTCAGTAAGATTGATTGATTCTTTTTTTTTTTAGAGACAGGGTCTTGCTCTGTCAGTCAGGCTGATACGCAGTGGTGCAATCATCACTCGCTATAACCTCCAACTTCTGGGCTCCAGCAGTCTTCCCACCATAGCCTCCTAAGTAGGTAGGACTACAGGCACACCCATGCTATAATTGATTTATAATATGATCCTTTGCCTTTCACAGTAAACATATTCCTAGGTACTGGTGGGAATATAAAATGTCACTATTTGTAATAGCCAAAAAGTAAGAACAACTCAAATGTCCATCAACTGGTAAGTGAATAAACAGGGCAGCTTATCCATGCATTCTAATATTATTCAGCTATAAGAAGGAATGAAGTAGTGACACATGCTGCCACATGGGTGCTAAGTGAAGGAAGCCAGTTGCAAAAAGACCATATGTTGTACGATTCCATTTCAGTGAAATGTCCAGCCCGGATGCAGTGGCTCATGCCTAAAATCACAGCACTTTGGGAGGCTGAGGCCGGAGGATCACTTGAAACCAGGAGTTTGAGACCATCTTGGGCAACATAGCAAGGCCTCATCTCTACTAAAAATTAAAAATTAGCTAGGTGTGGTGGCATGAGCTTATAGTTCCAGCTACTTGGGAGGCTGAGACTGGAGGATTGTGTGAGCCCAGGAGTTAGAGGCTGCAGTGAGCTGTGATCATGCCATTGCACTCCAGCCTGGGCGACAGAGCAAGACTCTGCCTCAAAAAAAAAAAAAGAAAGAAATCACAGTCCACTAGAAGAAATGGGGAAAATTAAAATAAATAAATAATGTTTAAAAATTAAGTGTCCAGAATAATAGGCAACTCTATTGAGACAGAAAGTAGATGAGTGGTTGCTGGGTCCAGGATGGTATAGAATGGGGGTGGGAAGGAACTACTAATGGGCATAGGGTTTTTTGGGGGGTGATGAGAGTATTTTAAACTTAATGTTGATGGCTGCCCAACTTTCTGAATATACTAAAAACCATTGAATTGTACACTTCATGGCATGTGAGTTAAAACCCAGCAAAGCTATTAGGAGTGCAATGGCACCATCTTGGCTCACTGCAACCTTGACCTCCCGGGTTCAAGCAATTCTCCTGCCTCAGCCTCCTGAGTAGCTGGGATTATAGGTGCTTGTCACCATGCCTGGCTAATTTCTGTATTTTTAGTAGAGACGGGGTTTCACCATGTTCGCCAGGCTGGTCTTGAACTCCTGACTTCAGGTGGTCGACCTGCTTCAGCCTCCCAAAGTGCTGGGATTACAGGCGTGAGCCACCATGCTCAGCCAAAGCTGTTATTTTTTTAAGTATGTATTCCTAGATGTTTTATACTTTTATAGTTATTGTGAATGGAATGATTTTTTTCCTAGATAACTTTTAATGAATAGAAACAGTTCCTGCTTTATCTCCAAATTCTAGAACAGTCACTGGCACACAAGTGCTCAGTGTTTAAGTGACATTGTTTTCCTGCACCCAAAAGTAGAATGCTGCTCCTCATTGGAAGCATGTTACTTTAGCAAAGTGCCACTAAAATGACCATAGTCCATGTGCTCTGATCACTTGTCACAGATGGTGATAAAATTCATTCACAGCTTCCTTTCTAGGCCTGCAGCATTTGGGAGACAAAACTCTGCTAAACCTTTGGAAGAAAAAAGAGACCAGAGGCCATTGGTCCCGAAAAGTGGATGGAAGATAGGGAGGTAGAAGGAATGTTACAGGCTGAGAGGGCAGCTCACACTCAGCTCCAGCCACTTCACCTCGTGCACACACTGGCTGAGGGTTGCCAGATGTTTGAGAAAAGCTAGAAATCCAGACCATTGTTAACCATTGGCAACTATAGGGAACATACAGAAAGCATCTGAACTGGATGTGGTAGAGCTCCCAGATCATGATCTGATTGAGAATGTCCATGAACTTCTGTCCTGATTGCTCAGTGCAGACTGCTGCTTCTTCTGGCAAGACTCCTCTCTTCACATTGACCTGGAGTTGTCACAAAATCTGTTTTTCTCTTGCTACTCCCCTGAGCATGGCACCTTCTGCCAGAGCGCTCCCTTAACTGTGTGGGCAGGCTCTGCTTCACAGCTCCCCGCCCACTCTGCCCAAGCAGAAGTGAGCCCCTCCTGGGCAGAAAGTGCCCGCAATGAGGGCTGAAATGTTTCTATTCCCTGAGTAACCAACCTTTCTCTGTTTCCTTGTCCAGGAAACGGAGGTGGAGCTGTACAACGAATTTCCTGAACCTATCAAACTGGACAAGAATGACCGGGCCAAGGCCTCGGCAGAAAGCTGCAGTTGCTGAGGGGGCAGTGAGAGTTGAGCACAGAGTCCTTCACAAACCAAGAACACACGTAGGCCTTCAACACAATTCCCCTCTCCTCTTCCAAACAAAACATACATTGATCTCTCACATCCAGCTGCCAAAAGAAAACCCCATCAAACACAGTTACACCCCACATATCTCTCACACACACACACACACGCACACACACACACACAGATCTGACGTAATCAAACTCCAGCCCTTGCCCGTGATGGCTCCTTGGGGTCTGCCTGCCCACCCACATGAGCCCGCGAGTATGGCAGCAGGACAAGCCAGCGGTGGAAGTCATTCTGATATGGAGTTGGCATTGGAAGCTTATTCTTTTTGTTCACTGGAGAGAGAGAGAACTGTTTACAGTTAATCTGTGTCTAATTATCTGATTTTTTTTATTGGTCTTGTGGTCTTTTTACCCCCCCTTTCCCCTCCCTCCTTGAAGGCTACCCCTTGGGAAGGCTGGTGCCCCATGCCCCATTACAGGCTCACACCCAGTCTGATCAGGCTGAGTTTTGTATGTATCTATCTGTTAATGCTTGTTACTTTTAACTAATCAGATCTTTTTACAGTATCCATTTATTATGTAATGCTTCTTAGAAAAGAATCTTATAGTACATGTTAATATATGCAACCAATTAAAATGTATAAATTAGTGTAAGAAATTCTTGGATTATGTGTTTAAGTCCTGTAATGCAGGCCTGTAAGGTGGAGGGTTGAACCCTGTTTGGATTGCAGAGTGTTACTCAGAATTGGGAAATCCAGCTAGCGGCAGTATTCTGTACAGTAGACACAAGAATTATGTACGCCTTTTATCAAAGACTTAAGAGCCAAAAAGCTTTTCATCTCTCCAGGGGGAAAACTGTCTAGTTCCCTTCTGTGTCTAAATTTTCCAAAACGTTGATTTGCATAATACAGTGGTATGTGCAATGGATAAATTGCCGTTATTTCAAAAATTAAAATTCTCATTTTCTTTCTTTTTTTTCCCCCCTGCTCCACACTTCAAAACTCCCGTTAGATCAGCATTCTACTACAAGAGTGAAAGGAAAACCCTAACAGATCTGTCCTAGTGATTTTACCTTTGTTCTAGAAGGCGCTCCTTTCAGGGTTGTGGTATTCTTAGGTTAGCGGAGCTTTTTCCTCTTTTCCCCACCCATCTCCCCAATATTGCCCATTATTAATTAACCTCTTTCTTTGGTTGGAACCCTGGCAGTTCTGCTCCCTTCCTAGGATCTGCCCCTGCATTGTAGCTTGCTTAACGGAGCACTTCTCCTTTTTCCAAAGGTCTACATTCTAGGGTGTGGGCTGAGTTCTTCTGTAAAGAGATGAACGCAATGCCAATAAAATTGAACAAGAACAATGATCATCTGCCTTTGCCAGAGTCTTTTTTTCCTTCTTCAAGAGCCTTGGCTCAGTAGAGACCACATGAGCTAATCATAGTCAATGCCTTATCAAGCAAGAGAGCCCTCCATAAATGGGCACGTGTGGTGCTTCAAGGCAGAAAGGCCCTCTCATATCTGGTCCTGTAGTGCCTGTCCCTAGTTTTTTTTTGTTTGTTTTTTTTTCCGGGGGCGGGGGTGGGTGTATTTTAATCACATTGTTGGAGGTTGAGGACCATGGATGGAGAACGCATTGTCCCTTTAGGAGAGCAGCCAGAAACTGCTGGGGACTCTGAGCCATGCATATCCTGTAGGTGTAACTGTAACCTAGTCATGTGTTATGTGTTTTATTTTTAGTTGACCTAGTTGCTAACACTTAGATGTGTAATTCTGCATTTGTCACAGGAGAGGAAGATTTGGCAGCAGAGGCCCTGTATTCCAACATATGTAAGCCCCCACCTGGAATGGAATAGTTGCCACTTAGAAGCAATTTTATTAAAATAGTAGTAGTTCAGGTCGTGAGTCACTTTAGGTTTTGCAGAAGTGCCTCATTGAGTTAGATCTTGAATTCTACTTTGCTACACTTTTCTACATTTCCACTTCTCAGGCTCCTCAGCTGGTTTCTTTCCTCGTGGCTCCTCTTGGCATGTACTTTATGTGTTAAAAATAGCATAGTTTAGAAGTTCAGATGCTGCACAATGTGAGATTATCCACAGTGCAATTCCACCCTGGCTGGGTGGCTTAAATCTTCTCTGGTCCTATATTTTGCTTGGGCCTCATCAGGTGTTTGTCCTCTAGAGGAGCAGAGTTCTCTCCAGCTTGGGGCCCAGTGACTGGGCCACAGGGTGTGGACCCTTGTGTGATGCTCACCTCTGCAAATCAGGCATCTATTCCTCTGATTGTGTTCCACTGGTCTTGACCTTGTATGTGACATTAAAATGGACCTTGACTTCTGACCTGCTTGACCTTCATCCTAAAACTGATGATCATCCTGATATTAACCTGCTTTAGCTTGAGATGAATGTAATCTTTAATTGACTGATTTCAACCATTGTCCTTATCATAACTTACCCTAATTTTAATGGCTTTGGCTTTGAACTGGCTTTGACTTTACCCTAAACACGTTCACTGCTGAATGACCTTGACTCTGACCCACCTCCTGACCCTAATCATCACCTGACTTTGAAGTTAACATGGAACCCTACCATGACAATAGGTCTTACTCTCTGACCTGGGACTAATTAGTCTCATGTCCCATCAGCCTGATGGCTGAGCTTGGTGTCATATTTTAACCCTAAATTGTATAATGTTCATCTAAGGGATTCAGCTTAACCACAATAGGGAGCCATGGCTGAGACTGAGCTCTGCATCAACACAGTGCCTTTTTCTTTTTTTTATTTTTTTATTTTATTTTATTTATTTATTTATTTATTTTTGATCATTCTTGGGTGTTTCTCAGAGGGGGATTTGGCAGGGTCATAGGACAATAGTGGAGGGAAGGTCAGCAGATAAACAAGTGAACAAAGGTCTCTGGTTTTCCTAGGCAGAGGACCCTGCGGCCTTCCGCAGCATTTGTGTCCCTGGGTACTTGAGATTAGGGAGTGGTGATGACTCTTAATGCTCATTAAGAGTCATCACAGTGCCTTTTTCTATATTCCTATTTAGATTCAGCATAAGCATGTGTTTTCTCTCAAAAGAGGGGAACTTGTCATTTTGCTGGAATAAGCAGTAAGGATTTACTTTTGTGAAGAATATCTGGGACTGAGTTTGTCTGCAGTACTATGGATTGTTTGGGTTCATTCATATTTGCCTTGAGGTGAGAATGAGAGATGAGTGTGTTGCTGGGTTTGCATCCATCTCAGTTTGCGCTAACAAATATTCAGAAGTTATTTTTGGCGAGGCACACTGGCTCACACCTGTAATCCCAGCACTTTGGGAGGTCAAGGTGGGTGGATCACCTGAGGCCAGGAGTTTGAGACCAGCCTGGGCAACATGGCAAAACCCCATCTCTAATAAAAATACAAAATGTAGGCGGGCGTGGTTGTGGGCACCTGTAGCCTCAGCTACTTGGGAGGCTGAGGCAGGAGAATCGCTTGAACCTGGAAGACAGAGGTTGCAATGAGCCAAGATTGCGCCACTGCACTCCAGCCTGGGCAACAGAGTGAGACTCCATCTCACACACACACACACACACACACACACACACAAAAAGTTTTGGAAAGGACGTCTGGGAATGAGTTTGTTGTACTAGTATGTACTTGTTTCAGTAGTACTCCTTCCTCTGATCCCAGCTTATTCTGCCTGCATGTGAGTGTGTTGCTGTGCCGACTGTCATCTCCCTCAATAAGCTATGAGGAGTTGGTTTTAATAAGAATGCCTGAGTTTGTTGTACTAACAGGAATTCTCATCCAAACTCCTACTCAGGTTCATTCTGATTCCTCTCATCTTTTAGTAAGAATATGCCTTTGAGGTTAATGTGTATTGCATTGCTTACATTGATATCAGTTAACACTGACCTGCAATAAGATTTCACCTTAAGATAAATGTCTGAGACTAAGCTTTTTTGCACTGAAAATGATGCCTTCCAATAGCATGAAGTAGGTGCATCTTGGTTCACTCTACCTTGCAGTAAGAATGTGCCCTAGAGAGGAATGTGTGTGTCCTGCTTACCTTCCTCTCAGTTGTCACTCGCATGCAATTAGGAGTTGCATGAATCAAATGATTGAGACTGGATGTACTTGTACTAATATGGATTCTTTTCATTACCACATGAGACTCATTCTAATCGATTTACACTTAACAATCATCCTGACCGTGATCCCCTTGAGGTAACCTTGGATTAACTTTGAAACTGACCCATGTGTCCTGACCTTGACTTTTTTCTTTTTTTTGAGACGGAGGCTCAGGCTGGAGTGCAGTGGCGTGATCTTGGCTCACCGCAACCTCCGCCTCCCAGGTTCAAGCGATTCTCCTGCCTCAGCCTTCTGGGTAGCTGGGATTACAGGTGTGCACCACCACACCTAGCTAAATTTTGTATTTTTTAGTAGGCGGTTTCACCATGTGAGCTGGGCTGGTCTCAAACTCGCGACCTCAAATGATTCGCTCACTTTGGCCTTCCAAAGTGCTGGGATTACAGGCGTATTGATCCTGATCTTGAATCTCATATGCAGTCATCCTGACCTTAAGCTGAAATAAGCATGAACTTGACCTTGAATTTGAATCTAGCCCTAATTCTGACCCTTGTCCTCACCCTAACCATCACCCTGACCATGTTTTGCCCTCATTTTAAACTTGTCCTTGAAACTGACTTTGATTGATTTTGAATCCAGTACACTGGTGCTTTTCATGGCCCTGAATCTGAATCTGAAGCCAACCCTGAACATTGTCCTGGCCATAAGTTTATACCTCCCCTAAGTTTATACCTGAATCTAGCTGACCTTAACCATTCTTAAGTTATCCTTAACCTTATTCATCCTGCCACTGATGATAGTCTGCCTTTGAACTGCTCTGGCCTTAAAATGACCTTCATCCTCTTGGCTCTAATCCTTAGCCTTGGTATGACGTTGGACCCAACCCTTGTCCTGGTGCTGACCAGCATTCTGACCCTACGTTTCAACTTTACCTTGAGCTTGAGCCATTTGGACCTTGACATGACTTTGAGGCCGACTCTGATTATCACCTTGAACATCATTCTAGCCATGTCTTAGTTTGTGTTTTTTTTTTTACTTGACTTTGCACTTGACCTTGACCCTACCATGGATCCTCAGTTTGACATAATCATCCTGAACTTGCCCTACCTGACTCTGAAATTGCCTTACCTTCATCCTGCCATTGTACGGACAATGACCTTGAACTTTACTTGGATCCTGATCTTAACTATCCTTTGAACACAGACATCCATACTTTGACCCACCCCAACATTGAAATGATCTTACCCAAAAAATTGGCCTTGGCACTGACTCCGATTCTTATCTTCACTCTTATGTGCTTTGATTTTTTGATGATCATTGATCTGAATTGACCCTGGTACTGAACATGGCTGACCATTTTAGAGCCTTGGCTTGTGTCCCAAACCACCAGCACATCTCAGCGCCCACTTCCTTCTTTTCCATTGGCTCTTCTCATGGACGTGTCCTGTATTCATTTGCTAGGACTCTCATAACAAATACGAGGCTGCAGGGCTTCAACAGCAGAAATGTCTTTTCTCCTGGTTTTGGATGATAGAAGTCCGAGATCCAGGTGTCCACGGGGTTGTTTCCTCTCAACCCCTCTCCTCAGCTTGTGGATGCCTCTCTCCTGGTGTCTCCACATGGTCTTCCCTTCTTTGCCGTTCTGGGTTTGAATCTCCTTTCTATGGACACCAGTCAGATTCGATTAGGGCCCAACTATATGACCTTATTTTACTTTAGTTACCTCTTTAATGGTCCCGTCTCCAACTGCAGTCACTTGCTCTGAGGTACTGGGGTTTAGGCCTCAACATAGGAATTGGAGGGGGACACAGCTCAGCACATCACCTCCCCTATCACCTCCCTTATGTACATCTTAGCTCTCATAGCCGTCACTGTCTAATTTTTCTTCCCTTAAATCTGGCTTCATTCCAAATTTCCCCTCCCCTGACTCGTTTTAATCTTTAACAGTTTTGTGAGGTACAACCCACCCTTTGTAAAGAGGAGAAAACAACAGATCTAGAAAGCTGAGCACTTGCTGGGAGGTTCATTTTTCCTAAGAGTAGCTGTATGTTGGAATCACCTGAGGGCCTGTGTCCCACCTGATTTACTGAACTTGACAGTGCCGGAGTGTGGCTCAGGTATGCTTTTAAAACCCCTCCAGGTGATTCTAATGTGTAGCTGGCGTTGAACTGGTATAAAAATATTTCCCTAAATATTTTATGAACCACAAATGTGTAAGGTCCACAGCTGGTTGCTAAGAGACAGGAAAAAGTTTGGCCTTAAAAAAAATTAAAGATCTCGGCCGGGCGTGGTGGCTTACGCCTGTAATCCCAGCACTTTGGGAGGCCTAGGCGGGAGATCACGAGGTCAGGAGATCGAGACCATCCTGGCTAACACGGTGAAACCCCGTGTCTACTAAAAATACAAAAAATTAGCCAGGCATGGTGGCGGGCGCCAGTAGTCCCAGCTACTCGGGAGGCTGAGGCAGGAGAATGGTGTGAACCTGGAGGCGGAGCTTGCAGTGAGCAGACATAGTGCCACTCCAGCCTGGGCAACAGAGTGAGACTTCCATCTCAAAAAAAAAAAAAAAAAAAAAAAAGATCTCAAATGTATGCTCTAGCCTTCCCCACCACCACCGCCACTGAGTTGCAACACTGCACAGATTTTGTTTGACCCACTTTTCCTACATACTTCCAACCAATATTTGTAAATGGGAAGATAGCACACAAAATCCAACTCTAGTTTGTCTTTTAAAAATTGGAAGAAAGTGCAACACTTGGATCACACTCCCGAATTTCTCATAGTGACCACTAATTGAGGACCCACCTTATTTAAACTTGCTTGCCTGGCTCCCATGCTAAGAAACTAATTTATGTCTGAGGGTGGCCCGGCAGCTTCTGAGTGGAATGCGTGTGCTCCAAGAGACCAGGCTTTGGGGTGTGGTGTGCTGAGTGCTGCTGCTCTGCCAAGTGAGCTCGGCCCGGTCCACGGTGACTACCAAGTTTCCATGTCCTGAGTTTCCTGGCCAGGTAGAAGATACTGGAAGTCTGGAGGGGAACCCAAAACTGCCAGCATGGCACATCCTGTCCCAACCTCTTTCCTTTGAGGAAAGGAACCATGTGCCTTCACAATGCCCTTCCTCACAGTACCCCTTTCCTTTGCCAGAAGTCCTTCCTCCATTCACACTGCAGGGCTAAAGATACCCCTTTTTGCTCATTTTTGTTGTAGTTTCATGGAAGGGAGCCAGAACTGGAATTTTGTTAGCTTTTTGGGGTCTAATCATAGTCCGTGGGTGTATTATTACTCCCTACTTTATGCCAGGAAAGAGAAAGGGTAAAGGCTATATAGAAAATCCCTAGCTTAGAGAAGGAAAAGGCCACTCTGGATGGCCCATCGAACAGAGGTGGTGAATTCAGTAGTTGGGTTTCCATTGGTATCTGTTGCTTCTGCTTTCAGAAGCAAGCTTGGCTTGCAGTTTGTAAAAGTACCCTGGGTCCCTAGTCATCTCTGCACTCATAGGAATGCCTGCTGGGGTACTGTTGTGGAAGGACAGGGAAACTTCTTGCCAAATTTCATTCCTTGCCATAGAACAGGATCCTCCAACTCTAGACGTTAACTTAGGTTGTCTTGGAGAGATCATCAAGATTTTGTTAAGTCACTTGATTCTCTAGCTGCACTCCTGGGTAAAAGGAAACTACCCTCACATCTATGATCAGTTGATTTTTGACAAGGGTGCCAAGACCATTCAATGGGGAAAAGACAGTTTTTTCATCAAATTGTGCTGGGATATGGATACCCATACCCATCTGCAAAGAATGAAGTTGGAGTCTTAACCTTGCACCATATACACAAACTAACTTGAACTGGATCAAAGACCTAAGTGTCAGAGCTAAAACTGTAAAACTCTTTGAATAGGGGGAAAGCTTCATGACATTGGATTTGGCAGTGATTTATTTGATACGACTCTAAAAACACAGGCGACAAAAGAAAACAGATTGGACATCATGAAAATTAAAATTTTTTGTGCATCAAAGGACACTACAAAGAGAGTAAAAACTCACCATATATCTCATAAGGGATTAATATCCAGAATATAGAAAGAAGTCCTATAACTCAATTTTAAAAAGTGATTCAAAAATGAGTGAAGGACTTAAATATATATTTCTCCAAAGAAAATACAATGATCACTGTCAGTCCACCAGAAAATGCGAATCAAAACCACACTGAGCTACTTAACACACAAAACAGCAAGTGTTAGTGAAGATGTGGAGAAATCAGAACCCTCGTGTTTTACTGGTGGGAATGTAAAACAGTGCAGCCACTTTGGACAATAGCCTGGTGATTCCTCAAAAAGATAAACATGGAATTACCCTGGGATCAGCAACTCCCCTCTTGAGATGTGTACCCAAGAGAAATGAAAGCTGGGATTCAGAGATACTTGCACACCCATGTTCGTGGTAACATTATTTACATTAGCCAAAAAGTGGAAACAAGTGTTCATCAACAGAGGAATGGATAAACACAATGTGATATGTATGTAGAATGGAATATTATTCATAAGGAGTAAGGCCAGGCGTGGTGGCTCATGCCTGTAAGCCCAGCACTTTGGGAGGCTGAGGTGGGTGGATCACGAGGTTAAGAGATCGAGACCATCCTGGCCAACATGGTGAAACCCCGTCTCTACTAAAAATACAAAAATTAGCTGGGCGTGGTGGCACGCACCTGTAATCCCAGCTACTCCGGAGGCTGAGGCAGGAGAATCGCTTGAACCGGAGAGGGAGAGGTTGCAGTGAGCCGAGATCATGCCACTGCACTCCAGCCTCAGCAACAGAGCTAGACTCTGTCTCAAAAAAAAAGAGAGTAAGATTCTGAGTCATGCTGCAGTATAGATGAGACTTCAAAACATTATTCCAAGGCCGAGTGCAGCGGCTCACACCTGTAATCCCAGCATTTTGTGAGGCCAAGGTGGGAGGATAATTTGAGCCCGGGAGTTCAAGACTGGCCTAGGCAACTTAGTGTGACCCTATCTCTACAAAAAATAAAATTAGCCAGGTGTGGTGGCATGCGCCTGTAGTCCCAGCTACTTGGAGGCTGAGGCAGGAGGATTGCTTGAGCCTAGAGAGGCTGCAGTGAGCTGTGGTTGTGCTGCTGCACTCCAGCCTGGGCAACAGAGCGAGATCCTATCTCAAAAGAAAAAACATTATTCTAAGTGAAATAAGCCTGAAACAGAAGGACAAATATTGTTATCATTCCACTTTTAGGAAGTACCTAGAATAGGAAAATTCATAAGAGACAAAAAGTAGAACAGAGTGCGGGGAGGGGAATGGAGAATTACTCTTTAAAGGGTACACAATGTCTGTTGGGGATGATGGAAGTTTTGGAAGTAAACAGTGGTGATGTTTGCACAACATTGTGAATGTATTTAATGATGCTGGAATTGACACAAGATGGTAAATTTTATGCAAGTTTTATACTTTTTTAATTGAAAAAAAGGAAACTGCTGAGTGAAAAAAAGTCAAAGATCAATGAGTGCCTAAAGCCCATGAACTTGAAAATGAGGCTTCGCCTCACAAAAACGCCAGCTGCCTCTGCATCTGCCCCCTTCCCATGTGTCTCTGAGCCCCAAGCTGGTGGCCCTTTTGTTGTCAGCCCTCCCAGCAGCCATGCTGGCCTTGAGGCCTCACCCAGCACAGGAGACAGAGGGAGCACAGGAGACCAGGGCTCCCCCGGGCTGAGAGCTCCTGAGTCCTGGCGCTGAGCCTCCTGCTGCACACACATTTCTGGAACTCTGGGCTCTGAATCAGGGTGGGGGCCAGAAATTTTTACTCAGTTTCAGGGGACACATGAGTTAGGACTCGTTTCTTGGGCCTTAAGGCTGTGCAGGTATCCCCCGGCAACTCTAGCCAGCTTTGCTGCTGAAGGAGGCTGTAGGTAGAGAGTCCAGAGAAGACCCTTCCCAGTGGAGCAGGGACCTGGAAACTCAGTGGCCTTCCTTTCCTCCCAGCCTTAGTCACTCACACCCATTGAGGCCAGTGTGCAGACTGGGATGCTGGGAAGCTTGCCCCAGGCACCTTTGACCCTGCAAGTCCCTGGAGCTCTGCCTCAGGCAGGGTTGCAGGCCCCTGAGCTGCCCACACAATGTCTCTAGGAGTACCAAGGCAGGAAACTCACTGGAGAGCTGGAGCTTTAAGAAAACTTCATGCTTTTTTTTTTTTCTTTTTTTCTCCACCTTCAGTGCCATGGATTTCCTTGGTCTGGGTGTGTTGAAGCCTCACCCAATGATCGGAGTGTGTGGCCAGGGTGGAGAAGCATACAGCGCTGGATGCTCTCAGCAGAGGCCTTTGGCCCAGAGCTTCTGTAGAAGCAGGCAGGGAGCCTGCACTTCCCGCCTTCCACCACCCATGGCTCTGGACAATGACACACTGGGCAAGACATACATATATCAGTGGGCACAGAAGATCTCTTTCTGTTTCTGCTCAGGGTGTTTCTGTGTAGGAAAAGAAATCCCATCTTTCTTCATTGAAGCCCAAAACCAGCAGAACTGCTCTTCCACCTGGCCCTTCTAGTATGTGAACTTGGTTCCTGTAGGAAGCTGTGGCTCTACTGTCCCCTCCAGAGGCCACACCAAGGTCTGGAGGAGGCAGGGGCTCCCTGGAATGATGGGACCCCTGAGCCACTGTGTCTACATGGGGTGCTGGGTTATGGACAGAGGCAGGTTGCTAATTTGCACATAGACCAACCAGAGAAGGCCTGAGAAGGGGTTGCAGCTGTTCTGGGCTGTGTTTGGAAACCTACGGCTGAGTGTGGCAGTTGCCAGGAACGGGCCCTGCAAGCCAGGCTGTGACCCTGCTGCTCCATTCTCCTGCTCTCTGGGTTCCTTGGTGCTAGGAGGAGCCTTCTGGATGCCTTCCAGGCTTGGGACAGAAAGTCAAGGGAAGAAGAATGTACCCTGGTAGCCAGCCTGGCAGTGGCGAGTGGCTCCAGTGGGGAGAGGCCCAGGGACTGGGGCTGGATTCCAGGATCCATTCGGCAAAGGATTTCTGGCCAGCCGCTACCCTCAGAGAGCAGTTATGAAGGAAAACCAGGTCCTGAAGCTGATGCCTGCCCCACAGGAGCGCACAGACTCAGAGCCAGACAGCCCTGTCAATGGGGAGGGACCTCTGTGGCACTCAGGGCTGCAGCCACAGACAGAGACCGTGTCCATGGGGCGTGCAGTGGAGGCTTGCCGCAGTCACAGGCAGCACAAGCTGGAAACTGCACCAGTTACAGGCCTGCAGGCCAGCCCTGAGCTGCCGGTGGGTTTTAAGTCCTGCAGTTTTTCTTTAATCTGAAGTTTTATGGCTCCAATGTTCAAAACACACACACACACACACACACACACACACACACACACACACACACACACACGAGATGACGCATAAAAAATGCTGATGCCCACATCTCTTCAAACCGTCTTGCAGCCCCAGGCCCCCATTCTCCTTGCTGCAGCAACTGGAGCCGCTGGTGCTCCCAGGCAGGGCCACCGCACCTCCAGCACCGGCTCCTCACCTCCTGCCTCTCAGGCAGATTTAGATCATCTCCCTGGCCAGGTAGGCCTGCAAGCCTGTGGCCCCTGGGAGAGAGAGAATGTATTAGTCAGGGTTCTCTAGAGGGACATAACTAATAGGATATATGTATATATGAAAGGGAGTTTATTAAAGAGAATTGACTCACACAATCACAAAGCAAAGTCCCACAATAGGCCATCTGCAAGCTGAGGAAGAAAGAAGCCAATAGTAGATCAGTCCAAGTCCAAAAGCCTCAAAAGCAGGGAAGCTGACAGTGCGGACTTCAGTCTGTGGCCAAAGGCCCGAGAGCCCCTGGCAAACCACTCGTGTAACTCCAAGAGTCCAAAGGCCAAAGAACCTGGAGTCTGATGTCCAAGGGCAGGAAGCATCCAGAACAGAAGAAAGATGAAAGCCAGAAGACTCAGCAAGCCAACTTATCCCACCTTCTGCCTGTTTTGTTCTAGCCACACTGGCAGCTGTTAGATGGTGTCCACCCACATTGAGGGTGGGTCTGCCACTCACAGTCCACGGACTCAAATTTTAATCTCCTCTGGCAACACCCTCACAGACACACCCAGGAACAAGTTTACCAGCTATCTAGGCATCCTTCAATCTGATCAGGTTGATATATTAACATCACAAGTCCTTGTCAACTTGAACCCCTTGTCAACTTGAACCCATACACATCTCCTGAAATCATATTTAATCTCCAAATAAAGGAAATAATAAGGTCATAATTACACCTAACGTAATACAGCTATCCTTCATACAACCAGAAGCACACTAATCCTTAACCTAAATGCTATTACATAAAGTTAACAACATTTAAATGCTGATATAAAATCAATAAATCTTATGTCACATGATAATGGAAAAAGAAAGGAAATTAATGAAGATGTTTTCTTAGTACAAGTGTATACATGCACAAACATTTTTAACAAAATAAGGAGGAAATAGTCGTGACAATTACAATCCTTGTTTCTGCAATTGGTCACGTGGCTGTAGCTGGTATTAATAACTATCTTCTGCTACCTATTTTGTATTCCCTTTGCCTTCAGCAAGCACCTCAGCTGGTTGTAGTTTTTTACCTGGTGGAGTGACCCAAACCTTCATTCCTGAAGGGTCTGGACCATTTGCAGTCCTGCCTGGATTGGGCTATTGTAGTTTCCCATTGACCTTAATCACAGGGCATGGTAATACTAAGAGATGCCCTAAGGGATCCTATATTCCATGCATACTCTTCTTTATTACCTTCATTGTGGAGTAGTAGTCTGATTTCATCTTGATAGTCCAGGTCAATCACCCCAGCCAACACTGTAACTCCCTTCTTAGCCTGTGGACTTAGAGGCAAGAGGAGCCCAAAGTGGTCAGTTGGCAGTCTTCCACTTTAACAGAATTATTATTTTGTCTCCTGGTGCCAACATTCCTCCCTCTAGAACTGAGACCTCTAGGCCAGCAGAACATAATGTTGCAGGAACAGGAAGCAAAACTTTGCTAGTGGGTCACTAGGGGTGATGGTGAATGGTGCCACATCCACTTCCACCCCTTGATTCCTGGATCTGTGAATGCTGGCTATGGGAGAAACAGTACCATAAGTTGGATGCTGATTCAGAGCATACACGGCCTTCTGGAGAGCTTTGCCCCAGTCCTGCAAAGTATTGTCACCTAGTTGGCATTGTAATTGTGACTTCAAAAGGCCATTCCACTGTTCTATCAATCCAGCTGCTTAAGGATGATGGGAAACATGGTAAAACCAGTTAACTCCATGAGCATGTGCCCACTGCTGCACTTCTTTAGCCCGTAAAGTGAGTGCCTTGGTCGGAGGCAATGCTGTGTGGAATACCATGATGGTGGATAAGGCATTCCGTTGAGTCCGAGGATGGTAGTCTTGGTAGAAGCGTTGCGTGCAGGATAGGCAAACCCACGTCCAGAGTAAGTGTCTATTCCAGTGAAGACAATCCTCTGCCTTTTCCATGATGGAAGAGGTCCAATGTAATCAACCTGCCACCAAGAAACTGGCTGATCACCCTGAGGAATGGTGTCATATCGAGGGCTCAGTGATGGTCTCTGCTGCTTGCAAATTGGGCACTAAGCAGTGGCCATAGCCAAGTCAGCCTTGGTGAGTGGAAGTCCATGTTGCTGAGCCCATGTGTAACCTCCATCCCTGCCACCATGGCCACTTTGTTTATGAGCCCATTGGGCGATGACAGGGGTGGCTGGAGAAAGAGGCTGAGTGGTGTCTATAGAATGAGTCTTGATTGATAAATATCCACGATAAAAATCCTCCTTTGCTGAGGTCACTCTTTGGTGAGCACTCACATGGGACACAAATATCTTCATGGTTTTTGACCACATATTGTGGTCAGAGAAATCCATCCACATACCTCTTTCCCCAGTTCACCAATTTTCCAATCATGCTTCTTCCAAGTCCCTGTCCATCCAGTCAAACCATTGGCTACAGCCCATGAGTCAGTATATAATTGCGCATCTGGCCATTTCTCCTTCCTTGCAAAGTGCAGAGCCAGGTGCACTGCTCGAAGTTCTGCCCGCTGGGAAGATTTCCCTTTCACCACTGTCCTTCAGGGATACCCTAGAAAGGGGCTGCAGCTGTCCACTTATGGGTGGTACCTGCATATTGTGCAGAGCCATCTGTAAACTAGGCCCTTGTCTTCTCTTCCTTTGTCAACTGATCATAGGGCCATGAGGCCACTGGTGCAGGCTGGGAGAGAGAAGGCAGGGTGGCAGGAGTGGGGACCATGGGCATTTGAGTCACTTCCTCATGTAACTTACTTGTGCCTTCAGAACCTGCTCGAGCCGGATCACATACGTACCGCTTCATTTGATGATGGAATGCTGCTGTGCACACCCCTCCCACTTTATGGGTAGATGGGTCAGCAAACACCCAGTTCATGATATGCAGTTCATGTCACATGGTGACTTGGTGACCCATAGTCAAATGTTCAGTTTCTAACAGGCCAAGAGCTGTCTCTCGAAAGGAGACTAGTTATCTTCAGAAGATGGCAGAGCCTTGCTCCAAAATCCCAGAGGCCTCTGCTATGATTCACCTGTCAGGGCCTGCCAAAGGTTCCAAACATCATCGCTATCTACCACTGACACCTCAAGCACCATTGGATCTGCTGTGTCATATGGCCCAAGTGGCAGAGCAGCTTGCACAGCAGCCTGGACCTCTTGCAGAGTCTTCTTCTGTTCTGGACCCACTCAAAACTGGCAGCCTTTCGGGTCACTTGACAAGTGGGCCGGAGTAACACACCTGAATGAGGAATGTGTTGCCTCCAAAGTCCAAATAGGCCCACTAGACATTTTGCCTCTTTCTTGGTTGTAGGAGGGGCCAAATGCAACAACTTATCCTTCACCTTAAAAGGAATATATTGACAGGCCCCAACCCACTGGACCCCTAGATATTTTACTGCGGTAGTAGGTCCCTGTGTTACCGGAAGGTGCCATGCAGGTCTAGGCTTTTGGTGTCTTGAACAAAGAATTGGATGAGACACACACAGATAGCAAAGCAAGGCAGCAGAAGTGGATTAGGCACAGTGCTCCACTCTCAGAGGGGGAGCGCAGACCAACCTCTGCGAGGTGAGATCAGATCCAGCGTGGTGTAGTTTGGATCTTTTTATGGGTTTTTTCCTTCTCTTCCCAAGGCTCCCTAATCTCTAGCCAGTGTCTGCCTTTTTGATTGATAGGTGGGTTGCTTAGTTACTTTGGCCCCTCTGCGCTTGTGCACCGCGTCCGATATGCAGTCCATATGCATTGTTGGGAAAAAGACTTATGGGGTGCCTGCATAAACTGGCCATAAAAATATGGGACAATAAGTTGAGGAAAGCCTCGTAATTGCCATCATGTTCCCACGCTCAGAGCGAGACCCACTCTTTTTTTTTTTTTTTTTTTTTTTTTTTTGAGGCAGTCTCGCTCTGTCACCCAGGCTGGAATGCAGTGGCCCGATCTCCACTCACTGCAAGCTCCGCCTCCCGGGTTCACGCCATTCTCCTGCCTCAGCCTCCCGAGTAGCTGGGACTACAGTGGGTGCCCACCACCATGCCCAGCTAATTTTTTGTATTTTTAGTAGAGACGGAGTTTCACCGTGTTAGCCAGGATGGTCTTGATCTCTTGACCTTGTGATCTGCCCACCTTGGCCTCCCAAAGTGCTGGGATTACAGGCTTGAGCCACTGAGCCCGGCCAAGAGACCCGCTCTCTTATCTGTAAACACTGTGTTCAAGGAGAAAGACACTCTTTTGAAACACTGGAATGTGGACAGACATGCAGGCTCTTAGTTAAGCCCGCTTCCACTAGCTACTCTCCGATAAATTAAAGATATGCTGTTTGAGCACAAAGGAGATTCATTTAAACCACTATTGCTATAGATTACGCCTATTTTCATGCGTGTCCGTGTGAAGAGACCACCAAACAGGCTTTGTGTGAGCAACATGGCTATTTATTTCACCTGGGTGCAGGCGGGCTGAGTCCGAAAAGAGAGTCAGCGAAGGGAGATGGATTATCATTAGTTCTTATAGGTTTTGGGATAGTTAAGAGCAATGTTTTGTGGGCAGGGGGTGGATCTCACAAAGTACATTCTCAAGGGTGGGGAGAATTACAAAGAACCTTCTTAAGGGTGGGGGAGATTACAAAGTACATTGATCAGTCAGGGTGGGGCAGGAACAAATCACAATGGTGGAATGTCATCAGGTAAGGCTATTTTCACTTCTTTTGTGGCTGCTTCAAGCGGGATTAGGGGCGGCGTGGGAACCTAGAGTGGAAGAGATTAAGCTGAAGGAAGATTTTGTGGTAAGGGGTGATATTGTGGGGTTGTTACAAGAAACATTTGTCATGTAGAATTATTGGTGATGGCCTGGATATGGTTTTGTATGAATTGAAAAACTAAATGGAATAAGAGAAGGAGAAAAACACGTATAAAAGGTCTAGGAATTGGGAGGACCTAGGACATCTGATTAGAGAGTGCCTAAGGAGATTCAGCATAGTCCTGCCAGCAAAGATTATTTATTTACTTTGAGTTAAGAGTGGCAGTTTGGGGATAGCACGAGGAGATATCAGCTGTGATGGCTTGGAGAAACAGTGTAAACCGGCAGTGTAAACAAGAGCAGGGCATGTATGAGTAGTTGAGAACGGTGAATAGGAGTATGACTAGACAGAAAATAGTAAGGATGACAAGTTTTTTTGGGGCACAGTCTAAGTTAGTCTGGTGTCTGGAATGAGACTGGGGCCTAATAAAAAGGAGCTCAAATGGGCTGTACCCTGTAGCATTCTGAGGACAGGTCTGACTTCTGAGAAGGGAAAGTGGTAAAAGTATTGTCCAGTCCTTTTTAAGTTGGTGGCTGAGCTTGGTGAGCTGTGTTTTTAAAGGACCTTTAGTCCGTTCTACTTTTCTTGAAGACGGAGGACCATAAGGGATATAAAGGTTTCACTGAATACTAAGAGCCTGAAAAACTGCTTGGCTGATTTGACTAATAAAGGCTGGTCTATTATCAGACTGTATAGAGGTGGGAAGGCTAAACTGAGGAATTATGTCTGACAGAAGGGAAGAAATGACTGCGTGGCCTTCTCAGACCCTGTAGGAAAGGCCTCTACTTATCTAGTGAAAGTGTCTACTTAGACTAAGAGGTATTTTTGTTATCTGTCTCGGGGCATGTTGAGTAAAGCTAATTTGCCATTCCTGGGTGGGGGCAAATCTTCAAGCTTGATGTGTAGGGAAAGGAGGGGGCCTGAATAATCCCTGAGGAGTAGTAGAATAGCAGATGGAAAACTGAGAAGTTATTTCCTTGAGGATAGATTTCCACGATGGAAAGGAAATGAGAGGTTCTAAGAGGCGGGCTAGTGGCTTGTGCTATCGCATAGCCTGCCTTTGCTGGTGTGTGGTGATTAGGCCTGGTGGAACTGCCATCAATAAATCAAGCGTGATCAGGGTGAGGAAAAGGAAAGAAGGAAATATGGGGAAATGGGGTGAATGTCAGTTGGATCAGAGACATACAGTCATGGAGGTCAGGTGTGGTATCAGGAATAATGTGGGAGGCCAGATTGAAGTCCGGGCCAGGAACAATGGTAATTGTGGGACTTAACAAAGAGTAAGTACAGCTGAAGGAGCCAGGGAGTATATGCGTCAGGTATGAGGAAGAAAATAGATTTTGGAAGTTATGAGAAATGTAGAGAGTGAGTTGAGCATAGTTTGTGATTTTTAGGGCCTCTAAAAGTATTCAAGCAGCGGCAGCCGCTGCACGCAGACATGAGGGCTAGGCTAAAACAGTAAGGTCAAGTTGTTTGGACAGAAAGGCTACACGGTGTGGTCCTGGCTCTTGTGTAAGAATTCTGGCCGCACTAACCATGCCCAGGAAGGAAAAGAGTTCTTGTTTTTTAGAAGGGATTGAGGTTTGGGAGATTAATCGGACATGATCAGCAGGGAGAGAATGTGTGTTTTTATGAGAATTATGCTGAGATAGGTAACAGATAAGGAAGAAATTTGGGCTTGACTGAAGTAATGGGGGCTGTCTGTGAAGCTTTGTGGCAGTACAGCCCAGGTAATTTGCTGAGTCTGATGGGTGTCAGGGTCAGTCCAAGTAAAAGCAAAGAGAGGCTGGGATGACGGGTGCAAAGGAATAGTAAAGAAAGCATGTTTGAGATCCAGAACAGAATAATGGGTAGTAGAGGGAGGTATTGAGGATAGGAGAGTATATGGGTTTGGCACCATGGGGTGGATAGGCAAAACAATTTGGTTGATAAGGCATAGATCCTGAACTAACTTGTAAGGCTTGTCTGGTTTTAGGACAGGTAAAATGGGGGAATTGTAAGGAGAGTTTATAGGCTTTAAAAGGCCATGCTGTAGCAGGCAAGTGATAACAGGCTTTAATCCTTTCAAAGCATGCTGTGGGATGGGATATTGGCATTGAGCGGGGTAAGGATGATTAGGTTTTAATGAGATGGTAAGGGGTGCATGATAGGTCGCCAAGGAGGGAGTAGAGGTATCTTGTGGGTTAAGGTCGGGGGATACAAGAGGAGGACACAAAGGAGGCTTTGGATTGGAAAGAAGGGCAGCAATGAGATGTAACTGTAATCCAGGAATAGTCAGGGAAGCAGATAATTTAGTTAAAGTGTCTCGGCCTAATAAGGGAACGGGGCAGGTGGGGATAATTAAGAGGAGTGCTTAAAAGAGTATTGTCTAAGTTGACACCAGAGTTGGGGAGTTTTAAGAGGTTTAGAAGCCTGGCCGTCAATACCCACAACAGTTATGGAGGCAAGGGAAACAGGCCCTTGAAAAGAAGGTAATGTGGAGTGGGTAGCCTCCGTATTGATTAAGAAGAGGACGGACTTACCTTCCACTGTGAGAGTTACCTAAAGCTCGGTGTCCATGATGGTCTACGGGGCTTCCAAGGCGATCGGGCAGCGTCAGTCTTCAGCCATTAAGCCGAGAAGATCTGGGAAGGAGTCAGTCAGAGAGCCTTGGGCCAGAGTTCCAGGGGCTCTGGGAGGGGCTGCCAGGTGAGTTGAACAGTCCGATTTTCAGTGGGGTCCCACACAGATGGGACACGGCTTAGGAGGAATCCCGGGCTGCGGGCATTCCTTGGCTCGGTGGCCAGATTTCTGGCACTTGTAGCAAGCTCCTGGGGGAGGCAGTTCTGGAGGAACACCTGGCCACTGCTGTTTAGGTGTTTGGAAGTTCTTGTGTGCTGGAGATGTTGCTGGGGTTTGTCTCACAGTGGAGGCAAGGAATTCCAACTTTTTTCTATTATTGTACACCTTGAAGGCAAGGTTAAATCCTGTTGTGGGGTTTGAGGGCCGGAATTTAATTTTTGGAGTTTTATTTAATGTCAGGAGCAGATTGGGTAATAAAATGTATATTAAGAATAAGACGGCCCTTTGACCTTTTAGGGTCTAGGGCTGTAAAGCTTCTCAGGGTTGCTGCCAAACGAGCCATGAACTGGGCTGGGTTTTTATATTTGATGAAAAAGAGCCTAAAGGCTACCTGATTTGGGATAAAGAAAAAGGAGCATTAACCTTGACTATGCCTTTAGCTCCAGCCACCTTTTTAAGAGTAAATTGCTGGGCAGGTGGGGGAGGGCTAGTCACAGAATGAAACCATAAGCCGGACCAGGTGTGAGGAGGGGAGGTGATAAATGGATTATAGAGTGGAGGAGCAGAAGCTGAAGAAGAATTGGGACCTAGCTTGGCCTGGCGAGGAGCAGCCTGGGGAGGAGGGGAGAGGTCAGATGGGTCTGTAGAAAAGGAAGATTAGAAAGACGCAGTGACGCTTGACGTTGGGACTGAGGGGACAGGCAAGAGGGAAAGAAGGAAGATTTGGGATGAGTTGCATTGGGCACAGAGACTAGGAAGGGACTGATGTGTAAAAGAATGCCTGGATGTCAGGCATCTCAGACCATTTGCCCATTTTATGACAAGAATTATTTAGATCTTGTAGGATGGAAAAATTGAAAGTGCCGTTTTCTGGCTATTTGGAACTACTGTCGAGTTTGTATTGGGGTCAAGCGGCATTGCAGAAGAAAATAAGATGCTTAGATTTTAGGTCAGGTGAGAGTTGAAGAGGTTTTAAGTTCTTAAGAACACAGGCTAAGGGAGAAGGAGGAGGAATGGAAGGTGGAAGCTTGCCCATAGTGAAGGAGGCAAGCCCAGAGAAAAGAGTAGAGACACGGAGAAGGGGTAGGGGGTTCTTGCCCTCCAGAAAAGCAGAGAAGGTGTTGGGGCACGGAAATAAGGGATTGGGGGTTCTTGCCCTCTAGAAAAGCGGGACTTGCCACTAAGGGTGAAGGAGAAGGGGTTGAGGGGTTCTTGCCCCTGCCCCAGAAGAGCAGAGAAGGGGTAGAGACACGGAGAGAAGGGTTTGGGGTACTTGCCCCTCCCCCAGAAAACCAGAGAAGGGGTAGAGACATGAAGAGAAGGGGTTGGGGTATGTGCCCCTCCCCCAGAAAACCAGAGAAGGGGTAGAGACACAGAGAGAAGGGGTTGGGGTACTTGCCCCTCCCCCAGAAAAGCGGGACTTGCCGCTAAGGGTGAAGGACCAAGGCAGGCGTCCCTGCGTGGTCTGACACCTTTGAAACGTGGGTGAATAATCAGAGAGATGTCCCTGCAATGATTAAACACCAAGGGAAGGCTGCCTTCCCAGTCCGTGACCGGTGCCGGAGTTTTGGGTCCACGGATAAAACGTGTCTCCTTTGTCTCTACCAGAAAATGAAAGGAATTGAAATTAAGAGAAGGGAGAGATTGAAGTGTGGCACCAAGATTGAAAGGAGAAAGAGGTTGAGGGATAGTGAGGGAATTTGGAGAAGAGAGTAAAAAGAGGCTACTTACTGGATTTGAAATTGGTGAGATGTTTCTTGGGCTGGTCCATCTGAGGACCTGAGGTCATACATAGATGGATCTTTCTCATGCAGCAAAGAGCAAGGAGGACAGGGGATTGATCTCCCAAGGGAGGTCCTCCGAACCGAGTCATGGTACCAAATTTCATGCACGTCCGTGTGAAGAGACCACCAAACAGGCTTTGTGTGAGCAACATGGCTGTTTATTTCACCTGGGTGCAGGCGGGCTGAGTCCGAAAAGAGAGTCAGCGAAGGGAGATGGATTATCATTAGTTCTTACAGGTTTTGGGATAGGCGGTGAAGTTAAGAGCAATGTTTTGTGGGCAGGGGTGGATCTCACAAAGTACATTCTCAAGGGTGGGGAGAATTACAAAGAACCTTCTTAAGGGTGGGGGAGATTACAAAGTACATTGATCAGTTATGGTGGGGCAGGAACAAATCACAATAGTGGAATGTCATCAGTTAAGGCTATTTTCACTTCTTTTGTGGATCTTCAGTTACTCCAGGCCATCTGGATGTATACGCGCATGTCACAGGGGATGCGATGGCTTGGCTTGGGCTCAGAGGCCTGACACCTATGACGCACTGCCACCCTTTCACTGTTTCGTCCTGAACATCTGCTTCTTAGATCTAAGTGATTATACTCAATAGTGTGGAGACCAGAGCTCTGAGCCTTTTGTGGCCTCCATTTGCAACTGGCCCCCTGGCTCCCACCTTTATGAGCACTTAACCTGTCTCTTCTCAATCCTTTGTTACCACCCGACCTCGGGTACCCTGTGGGTGGTGTTGAGGCTGGTCCCCAACATGCATGAGCTTTAATGAGCTGATTATCATACGGGGTCATGGTAAGGAAATGTTTTCTCTCTAATGCACATGCCTAGCCCTGAAGAGCGGCCCCTTACTGGTTTGGTCTGGATCCTGCCAGCCAGGGTGTACTTGCTCACTTCTCTTTTTGTTTTGACTGCTCAACTTCTAGCTCTCATCTTGCTTCTTGCCCACTGCCCTTTTACCTTGCTTCTACTTTCTGCTTTTAGTCATTCTGCCCTTTATTTAACTTTTAATTACCTTTGCTACCCTCCTGCTCAGTTTCCCTATTCTCCAGCCTCACCTGAATTTTAGTCAGATTTATTTCCCATCCGCTGGCACATAAATGTCTCAACAATGAGTCCAGTGTGGTTGCTACTTGTCGCTCCCGTCAGCATAATGTCGTCAATGTAACGGACCAGTGTGATACCTCATGCGAGGGAAGCACCAGTAAGATGTCTGTGAAGAAGATTATGACACAAAGCCAGATAGGTGATAGAGCCCTGAGGTAGGACCATGAAGGTATACTGCTGGCCTTCCCAGCTGAAGGCAAATTGCTTCTGGTGGTCCTTATAGACAGGAATGAAGAAGAATGCAATGCCCCACACTCAACCGCCAACAGCCCAAAGCCAAGACTCCCTCAGCCTTGCACCCTGTGGCAGAGCCCCGGGAGGCTGCCTCCCTTCCAGCGCTGCTGCCCAGGAGTGGACGGGTGGACAGGCATCAGGGTGTCTCAAGTCAGGGCCACCCTGATGCAGCTGCCCCAAGACCTACAGCTGACCAAGTGCAGCTATGTCCTCTGCGGGCCACCTGTCAAGGTCACAAGTGACAGATGCCACAAGGCACAGTGGCCTGCCCTGCCCAGGGCTGACCTTCAGGGTGGGCAGGGGGCACTATCTCAGGTCCTCTCTGTCTCACAGGTCCATGTGAAGAGACCAACAAACAGGCTTTGTGTGAGCAACAAGGCTGTTTATTTCACCTGGGTGCAGGCAGGCTGAATCTGAAAAGAGAGTCAGCAAAGGGTGGTGGATTATCATTAGTTCTTACAGGTTTTGGGATAGGCAGTGGAGTTAAGAGCAATGTTTTGGGGGCAGGGGGTGGATCTCACAAAGTACATTCTCAAGGGTGGGGGAGATTATAAAGAACCTTCTTAAGGGTGGGGGAGATTACAAAGTACATTGATCAGTTAGGGTGGGGCAGAAACAAATCACAATGGTGGAATGTCATCAGTTAAGGCTATTTTCACTTCTTTTGTGGATCTTCAATTACTTCAGGCCAGAGGGATGTATACATGCAGGTCACAGGGGATATGATGGCTTAGCTTGGGCTCAGAGGCCTGACATTCCTGTCTTATATTCATAAGAAAAATAAAATGAAATAGTGGTAAAGTGTTGGGGCAGTGAAAATTTTTGGGGGTGGTATGGAGAGATAATGGGCAATGTTTCTCAGGGCTGCTTCGAGTGGGATTAGGGGCAGCGTGGGAACCTAGAGTGGAAGAGATTAAGCTGAAGGAAGATTTTGTGGTAAGGGGTGATATTGTGGGGTTGTTAGAAGAAACATTCGTCGTATAGGATTGGTGATGGCCTGGATACGGTTTTGGATGAAGTGAGAAACTAAACGGAAAACACGAGGTCCAAATAAGAGAAGGAGAAAAACAGATATTAAAGGACTAAGAATTGGGAGGACCCAGGACATCCAATTACAGAGTGCCCAACGGGGTTCAGTGTAATTACTTGTTTGGCTGGTGAGTTTTTGGGATCTATCCTTGACAGAGTCCTCCTTTTTTAAGTTGGAGGCTGAGCTTGGTGAGGTGTGTTTTTAAAAGACCATTAGTCCATTCTACCTTTCCTGAAGATTAAGGACGATAAGGGGTATGAAGATTCCACTGAATACCAAGAGCCTGAGAAACTGCTTGGGTGATTTGACTAATAAAGGCCAGTCCATTATCAGACTGTATAGAGGTGGGAAGGCCAAACTGAGGAATTACGTCTGACAAAAGGGAAGCAATGACCACAGTGGCCTTCTCAGACCCTGTGGGAAAGGCCTCTACCCATCCAGTGAAAGTGTCTACCCAGACCAAGAGGTATTTTAGTTTCCTGACTTGGAGCATGTGAGTAAAGTCAATTTGCCAGTCCTGGGTGGGGGCAAATCCCCGAGCTTGATGTGTAGAGAAGGGAGGGGGCCTGAATAATCCCTGAGGAGTAGTAGAATAGCAGATGGAACACTGAGAAGTTATTTCCTTAAGGATAGATTTCCACGATGGAAAGGAAGTGAGAGGTTCTAAGAGGCAGGCTAGTGGCTTGTAACTTTTACATGGAAGAGGTTATGAAATGATGACAGAATAGAATGGGCCTGTGAGGCTGGAAGGAGGTATTTTCCTTGGTCTAAGAACCATTTGCCTTGTGTGGGAAGAGATTGATAGGTGGAAATTTCAGTGGGGGAGTAGGTGGGAGTGACCGATGAGAAGGAGAAAAACTGCCGTGAGAGATAGAAGTTGGAATGCTAGCTGCTTTTTTAGCTACCTTATCAGCATAAGTGCTGCCCTGAGTGATGGGATCTGATGCCTTTTTATGACCCTTGCAGTGAATGACTCTAGGTTTTTTTGGAAGTAAAGCGGCCTTGAGAAGAGTTTTTATTAAAGAGGCATTATTGATGGAGGACCTTTGTGTAGTGAGGAAACCTCTTTTTGCCCATGTAACAGCATGGTGGTACAGCATATGGAAGGCATATTTAGAGTCAGTATAAATATTGATGCGTAGTCCTTTGCAATAGTGAGGGCTCGAGTTAAGGCAATGAGTTTGGCTTGTTGAGAGGTAGTGGAGGGGGGCAGAGTGGTAGCCTCAATGATATATGTGGAAGATACTATAGAATAGCCTGCCTTTGCTGGTGTGTGGTGATTAGGCCTGGTGGAACTGCCATCACTAAACCAGGTGTGATCAGGGTGAGGAACAGGAAAGAAGAAAATTTGGGGAAATGGAGCGAATGCCAGGTGTATCCGAGAGATACAGTCATGGGGGTCAGGTGTGGTATCAGGAATAATGTGACAGGCTGGATTGAAGTCCAGGCCGGGAACAATGGTAATTGTGGGAGACTCAAAAAAGAGTGAGTCTAGCCAAAGGATCTAGGGAGCAGAAGGTATATGTGTCAGGTATGAGGAAGAAAATAGATTTTGGAAGTTATGAGAATTGTAGATAGTTGAGCATAGTTTGTGATTTTGAGGGCCCCTATTAAAGCAGTGGCAGCCGCCACACGCAGACATGAGGGCTAGGCTAAAAGAGTAAGGTCAAGTTGTTTGGACAGAAAGACTACAGGGCACCGTCCCGGCTCTTGTGTAAGAATTCCGACCATGCAGCCCTGCACTTCGGCTGTGTGTAATGAAAAAGGTTGGGATGAGTTAGGGAGAGCTAGTGTGGGAGCAGCCTTTAGGGCTATTTTTTAAGGAATGGAAAGGGGAGTGGGGAAAGGATTTAGGATTTATGGGGTCAGCTAGGTTTATCTAGAACAGAATAATGGGCTGTGGAGGGAGGTATTGAGGATAGGAGAGTATATGGCTTTGGCACCATGGGGTGAATAGGCAAGACAATTTGGTTGATAAGGCGCAGATCCTGAACTAACCTGTAAGACTTGTCCAGTTTCTGGACAGGTAAAATGGAGGAATTGTAAGGAGAGTTTATACGCTTTAAAAGGCCATGCTGTAGCAGGTGAGTGATAACAGGCTTTAATCCTCCTAAGCATGCTGTGGGATGGGATATTGGCATTGAGCGGGGTAAGAGTGATTAAGTTTTAATGGGATGATAAGGGGTCCATCATCCATCGCCAAGGAGGGAGTAGAGGTGTCCTATACTTGTGGATTAAGGTGGGGAGATACAAGGAGAGGATGTGAAGGAGGCTTTGAACTGGGGGAAAGGCAGCAATGAGGTGTGGCTGTAGCCCAGGAATAGTCAGGGAAGCAGATAATTTAGTTAAAATGTCTCGACCTAATAAGGGAGCTGGGCAGTTGGGGATAATTAAAAGGAGTGCATAAAAGAATGTTGTCCAAGTTGGCACCAGAGTTGGAGAGTTTTAAGGGGTTTTGGGGCTTGGCCATTAATACCCACAACAGTTATGGGGGCAAGGGAAACAGGCCCTTGAAAAGAAGGTAATGTGTAGTGGGTAGCCCCCATATCAATTAAAGAGGGGACGGACTTACCCTCCACTGTAAGAGTTACCCAAAGCTCGGTGTCTGTGATGGTCCAGGGGGCTTCCGAGGCGATCAGGCGGCATCAGTCTTCAGCTGCTAAGCCGAGGAGATCTGGGAATGAGTCGGCCAAAGAACGTTGGGTCTGGGTTCCAGGGGCTTTAGGAGCGGCAGCGATGTGAGTCGGGCAGTCCGACCTCCAGTGGGGGCCAGCACAGGCAGGGCACGGCTTAGGAGGAATCCCAGGCTGCGGGCATACTGAGGCCCAGTGGCCAGGCTTTTGGCATTTGAAGCAAGGTCCACGAGGATGTTTTGAAGGAGCCCCTGGGAGCTGTGGCTTTGATGTTCTGAAGTTCTTGTATGCTGGAGACGTGGTTGTGGGTTGTCTTACAGCAGAGGCAAGTAGCTGTAACTCAGAAATGCGTTGCTGTCTGGCTACCTCCTCTCTATCCTCTCTATTATTGTACACCTTGAAGGCGAGGTTGATTAATTCCTGTTGTGGGGTTTGAGGGCCAGATTCCAATTTTTGAAGCTTTTTTCTAACGTCAGGAGCTGACTGGGTGATAAAATGCATATTAAGAATAAGGCGGCCTTCTGGCCCCTCTGGGTCTAGGGCGGTAAAGCGTCTAAGTGTTGCTGCTAAGCGGGCCCTGAACTGGGCTGGGTTTTCGTCTTTACCTTGGGTAGTTTCTTTAAGTTTGTCAGAATTAACAGGTTTGTAAGCTGCCTTTTTAAGCCCTTCAACTAGGCAGGAAACCATGTAATCTTGCCCAGCTATACCTGGGGAATCTGCCTGATAGTTCCACTGGGGATCTTCTAGGGGAACTGCTCTAATGCCTTCCTGGAGGCCTGGCTTATGAAGCTGGCGGTTATCAGCATGAGATTGGGCTGGAGAAAAAACTCTTTCCCATTCATCTGGGGAGCGGGTAGAAGTTAGGTTGACACTTAAGTCACTCCAGGTTAAATTGTAGGACAGAATTGGATATCGGAATTCCTGTATATATTTAGTGGGGTCTGATGAGAAAGAGCCTAAACGCCGGCTGATTTGGGAAAGGTCTCATGGAGAAAAAGGCACATGTACCCTGACTATGCCTTCAGCTCCAGCCACCTCTCTAAGAGGAAATTGTTGGGCAGGTCGGAGAGAGCTAGTCACAGAACGAAACTGTAAACCAGACCAGGTGTGAGGAGAGGAGGTGATAGAAAGATTATAGGGTGGGGGAGCAGAGGCTGAGGAAGAATTGGGACCTGGCTCGGCCTGGCGAGGAGCAGCCCAGGGAGAAGGGGAGAGGTCAGATGAGTCCATAGAAAATAAGGATTCAAAGGACTCAGAGCTTGGGGTGGAGACTGAAGGAACAGACAGCAGAGAAAGAAGAAAGATTTGGGATGAGTCTCATCGGGAGCAGAGACTAGGGAGGGACCAATGTGTAAAGAATGCCTGGACATCAGGCACCTCAGACCATTTGCCCATTTTTCGACAAAAATTCTGTAGATCTTGTAGGATAGACAAATCAAAAGTGCCATTCCCTGGCCACTTGGAACTACTGTAGAGTTTGTACTGGGGCCAAGTGGTATTGCAGAAGAAAATAAGGTGTTTAAATTTTAGGTCAGGCAAGAGTTGAAGAGGTTTTAAGTTCTTGAGAACACAGGCTAAGGGAGAAAAAGGAGGAATGGAGGGTGGAAGTTTGCCTATAGTGAAGGAGGAAGTTTAAAGAGAAGGGTAGAGACACAGAGAAGGGGGGTGGGGAGCAGCCCTGGGCTGCAATGTGGGTGAGCAGCCAAAGCAGGCATCCCCGCAATTGACTTGCCACCAAGGGAATGTGGGTGAATGACCAAGGCAGGCGTCCCCGCGGTGATCAGACACCAATGGAGAGTGAGTGAATAATCAGGCAGGCATCCCCGCAATGATTAAACACCAAGGGAAGGCTGTCTTCCTGAGTCCGTGATCAGCGCCGGAGTTTTGGGTCCATGGATAAAATGTGTCTCCTTTGTCTCTACTAGAGAGGAAAAAGAACTGGAATTGGAAGGACAGGGAGATCAAAGGGTAGCAAGAGAGGAAGATTGAAGGGTAGCGAGAGAGGCTGGAGAAGAGAGTGAAAAGACCGCTTACCCAATTTGAAATTGGTGCGATGTTCCTTGGACTGGTTGGTCTGAGGACCGGAGATTGTAGGTGGATCTCTTCACGAAGTGAGGGTGAGGACAAGGGACTCCCGAAGGAGTCCCTCTGACCCGGGTCTTCGGCACCAAATGTCTAACACGTCTGTGTGAAGAGACCACCAAACAGGCTTTGTGTGAGCAACAAGGCTGTTTATTTCACCTGGGTGCAGGCGGGCTGAGTCCAAAAAGAGAGTCAGCAAAGGGTGGTGGGATTATCATTAGTTCTTACAGGTTTTGGGATAGGCGGTAGAGTTAGGAGCAATGTTTTGGGGGCAGGGGGTGGATCTCACAAAGTACATTCTCAAGGGTGGGGAGAATTACAAAGAATCTTCTTAAGGGTGGAGGAGATTACAAAGTACATTGATCAGTTAGGGTGGGGCAGAAACAAATCACAATGGTGGAATGTCATCAGTTAAGGCTATTTTCACTTCTTTTGTGGATCTTCAGTTACTTCAGGCCATCTGGATGTATACGTGCAGGTCACAGGGGATATGATGGCTTAGCTTGGGCTCAGAGGCCTGACACTCTCCCCTTCCTCAAGGCTCCTTCCTCACCTGGGGTGTACGGCTCCGAATCCCAGCACCTCAGGGGCCTTCCTGTTTCATTTTTGCTGACAAATGATTATTGAGCATCTCCCGTGTGCAGGGACAGAGAAGATAGACAAGCTGGCCCCCAGGTGGATGAGAGAGACTAGTCTATCAGTGCAGAAAACTACCAATAGGGACAAGGGCTAGGAAGGAAACACCAGGAAAAGTGCTGTTGGAAGATGGGGGTGACCCTGCTGCAGATGGGGTGCTCAGGGAGGGCTTCTCTGAGGTGGTGACAGTCACTTGATTGACAAAAGGGATGGGCAGGGCCTGTGGAAGTCTTCTGAGGAAGGGAACAGATGGTTTTTTAAACCATCAGATATGGTGAAACTCATTCACTATCGCAAGAACAACATGGGAAAGACCCGCCCCCATAACTCAATTACCTCCCACCACATTCCCCTCACGACACTTGAGAACTGTGGGAGTTACAATTCAAGATGAGATTTGGGTGGGAACACAGCCAAACCATATCAGAAATGCTACCTGATTTCTCTTCAGCCTCGGTTTCCTCACCTGGACAGTGGAGCTGGAGCCCCTCGGCTGCCTGACCCTGCTCTCTGGGTTGCCTCTAGGGACCCCACCCTGCTCAGGCCTGCTCCCACCCCTCCATGGCTGTCAGTCCCTCCCAAGAAGAATGTCCCCCCAACAGAGGCTGCTGGAGGTAAAGGGAGATGAACAAGCCAAGGTTGCCTGGCCTGCACTGAGGGCTGCATGGCTCTTGAGGCCCGGCCTGGGTGGACACTGGAGGGCACTTTCTGTCTGTGGGTTTTGCCCTGGTGCCTGGAGCCCCTTTCTCTGTGGTCTCTTGACCCAGCCCAGCTCAATGAGCCTGGAGCCCTGGGCTTCTGGAGAAGAGATGTCAAGCTCTACCACAGGTCACAGGTCAGAAACAACTCTCGCCTTGTCTGATGCAAATGGAAGCCAGGCCTGCTTCCCACAGGGCGGGCACTTCCAGTGGGGCACAGCAGCAAGGCAGAGGGACAGACTCTGAGGGGCCCTTGAGAAAATCAAGCAGGGCCCACAGGGACCCTCTCTCTGGGGTTGCAAACTGGCACTGGGTGGAGGGAGATTCGGTATTGACACCTGGGGACCCTTACCCCCAAAGTGGATGTTAAGGACAGCAGCACATTAGGGAGACAAGGGGCCCCACAACACTCCCAGCCTGTCCCCAGCCTGCTTCCGGCTTTCTGGTCCTTTTCTCTTGCGGGGAAGGAGAATTTTATCTGACTTTCTCTGACTTCTGGCCTTTCTTGGGCAGCTGAAAATGATAAGTAGGAAATACTGGCTTGCTTAGAGCCTTCTTTGGTTTTACTGGGAAATGGAAACTTTGGCAGATGGGGAAGGACAGTGGGAACCCCAGGAAAAAGGGACGATGCTCTGATGGTGGAGTGTTTCCTCTTCTGTTGTTTTCTGTGATCTAAAATGAGAGGTTGCTTGGGATAGTTGATTTGTTTTCCATTGATGACACTGAGATGTTCTTGGCCTGGAATCCCATGGCCACCACAAGTTGGGTTGTTTGGGGTTCGGGTGGTCCAGGAGTGGCTCTTGGTGTGGTGTGACTGGCAACCTCTGGACACTTTTCACCTATGGATTTTTCATCACTTGTTCCAGTGAAGGACACTCCTTGGGGTCCAGCATTAGTCACTTTTTAATAAGTCTTTCCATTCGTTGGGGAAAAAAATTGTGGTGAACGGTATTCTGCACTGATCATTTTTTCTTGAGGCCTGTAGGGTTCCCTGAGTAGAAGGGCAGGGCCCCGGCCACCATGGAATACAGTGTGGCACGGAGGCTCCATACAATCATGGTGGCGCTGGCACTCCTGGCCCAGGAAGAGTTCCGTGGCCACGTAGGGGTGCGCGCCACAAAATGTTTTCAGCATCTATGCCTCCCCGAATGTCATGCTAAAGCCAAAGTCCATGATTTTTATATTGCGTTCCTCATTGAGTAGCATGTTTTGTGTGTGGATGTGTGATGTTCTTCAAGTGGCAGTAGTGCAGGGCTGACAGAATCTGCCTGAACATGGTTCAGGCCTCCTCTTCCTCGATGTGGCCTTGGTGGCATATCTGGTGCTGTAGCTCTCCTCCTCTGGCGTACTCCATCACCACATACATGGTTTCCACCTTGTCAGTCACCTGGTGGAACTGAATGATATTTGGGTGATAGAGAGTCTTCATGATACTCATCTCTCTCTCTAGAGAGCAAGGCCAGCCTTCTTAGGGATGATTTGGAGGACAATTTGGGTCCCAGTTAGCCTATGCCGGGCCAGTTCCCTGGCGGATGGTGTCAAGGATCCCATAGTTTTGTATCTTTTTGCCAGGTGAGGTGGAGGCCGATCCCGGCTCTATGGTGCCTCCTAGCTACGCTGCCGCAAAGGGAGGTGAACAAGCCAAGGTTGCCCGGCCTGTACCTAGGGCCACACGGCTCCTGAGGCCTGGCATGAGTTGATACTGGAGGGGGCTTTCTCTTTGTGGGCTTTGTTCTGGTGCCTGAAGCCACTTCCCTATGGTCTCTTGATCCAGCCTAGCTGGCTGAGCCTGGAGCCCTGGCTTCCAGAGAAGAGATGTCAGGCTGTACCACAGGTCATGGGCCAGAAACAATTATGGCCTTGTCCAGTGCCAGTGGAAGCCAGGCCTGGGGAGGGCGCCTCCTCTCACAGGGCTGGCACTTCCCGAGGGTGGATGGCAGCAAGGTGGGGAAGACAGACTCTGAGGGGCCGGCCCTTCGGGAGCTCAAGCAGAGCCCACAGGGACCCCGTCTGGGGTTGCAAACTGGCATTGGGTGGAGGGAGATTCAGTATTGACACCTGGAGGACCCTCACTCCCAAAGTGGATTTTAAGGACAGCAGCACACTGGGGAGACAAGGGGGCCCACAGCATTCCCACCTGGTCCCCAACCCGCTTCTGGCTTCCTAGTCCTGTTCTCTTGGGGGAAACAAGACTCTTATCTGACTTTCTCTGACTTCTGTCCCTGCTTGGGCAACTGAAAATGACAAGTAGGAAATACTGGCTTGCTTTGAGCCCCCTTTGGTTTTGCTGGGAAGGTGGAAACTTTGGCAGACGGGGAAGGACAGATGGGAACCCCAGGAGGAAGGGCCATTGCTCTGATGGTGGAGCGCTTCCTCTTCTGTTCTTTTGTGTGTTCTAAAACGAGGTATGTGCCATGGGAGAGTTGATTTCTTTTCCAGTGTTGACACTGAGATGTTCTCGGGCTGGAATCCCCTAGCCACCATGACCAGGGCTGTAGGGGGCGCAGGTGCCCAGGTTCTCTGTATGGTGTCAGCAGCACCTCCCGGCCAGCATTGACCCAGGAATTCCACATCAGCTGGTTTAGTGGGGGCCGCTCCCTGGGGCTGAGGGTGAGGAATTGTTTTACTAGTGTCTCCAGTGGAAATGAAAAAATAGATAAGGTGTCGTATTGTCATATAGCTTGAGGCAGAAAGGAACCACGGGTGGGGCTGGATGTTCTTTCAGCCTCCCTAGCAGAGATCACAGACAAGAGTGGTCAGCTTGGCCTAGCTTCTGCGATGGCTGGCTCTGATGTTGGGGAGGGAGGCAGTCCCCAGAGCAGGAATGCCTTCCCTGGGGTTCATATCCTTGCAGGGTAGGAGCTGGAAATCCTCCCATCAGAGCCTCCTTCACTGCAGCCCGTGGGGGCGAGTGACAGGGGGATCCGTGCCCCACGGGCAAACCTCCGGGCTCTGGCTTCAGCCCCACCCCGGGGAAACATGCACAGCCCCTCGGGAGGAGCCCTGCTGCAGGCTCAGCTGGGAGTCCTGGATTGCCTGGCAGGGCTGAGATGCCGTTTGGGTAGCCTCGGGTCTCCATGGAGACAGGGGCGGGGCCAGGCGGCAGGGGCGGGGTGCCCAACAGCCAACTGCCCGCCCTCAACCGCCAAAAACCCACACTCAACCGCCAAAGGCCAAGGCCAAGGGCCCTCTGGCGCTGCTGCCCCCACACGGACTGGCGCCCTCTGCAGGTCCCGCGGCTCCCGGCCCGCTCAGCGCCTCCGGAGGTCTCACCCAAGCCCTATCAGCTGGGTCCCTACGGGCCTCAAAGCGCTGGCCCAGCCGCGGGGTCACTCCTCTGAGCCTCCCGACCTTCCATGGGTCCTTTGGAGCCCTGGGTTTTGGAGCTTGTCCTTCCTCAGTGCCGCCCGCCGGGACGTGGCTGCACCAGGGCCACAGCACCTCGGGGGCCTTCATTTCATTTATGCCCACAAATAATCATTCAGTGTGCTGGGACAGAGAAGACAGACACGCTGGCCCCCTGGTGGGCGAGAGAGACTGGTCTATCAGTACAGAAAACTCCCAGTAGGGACAGGGGCTAGGAAGGAAACACCAGGAAAAGTGATGATGGAAGATGGGGGTGACCCTACTGCAGATGGGGTGCTAAGGGAGGGCTTCTCTGAGGAGATGACATTCACTTGATTGGCAAAAGGGACAGGCAGGGCCTGTGAAAGTCTTCTAAGAGGGGGAACCGCAGTGCCCAGTGGGCTGTCCCAGGATGGAACTAGGGCAGCGGGTGGGGGTGGGGATGTGAGCCAGGCAGGCAGGGCCCAGACACCGTGTGATGGGTGCGGGGGTGGGACCCACGGAGGCTCTGAGGAAGCTTTGGGCCTCAGAAGATGGAGAAACAGGAAGACCCACTTGGAGGCCTGCACCCAGGCAGGGGGCGAGAGCTGAATGCATCGCACCGCCCTCCTGGGGCTACCCGTGGGCCTCGCTTTCTTTCCCCATGCTCTGCACTCTGCCACGCACCCCTTCCTCGGCCAGGCGGACAGAGGAAATGCAGATGCTGGAGGCAGGAGCACTGGACTGGGAATTAGACTTGGAGTAAAATCTAAATGCCCTATGGGCCTGGCTCTTCTCTGGAGTTCGGCTTCATGTTAACTGTGATTGGGGGACAAGGGACAGTAAGACCGGCTCTCAGACCCTTGTCACTCCACACTGCAATGCTTCTCAGTGGTCTCAGGGGCTTCTATTTTAGGAATAGTTACCTGGCTATAGAAGAATAATGGAAGGAAACATGTTTTGAGTGGCGCTTATATCAGGCTCTAGACTAGGTATTGGTTTTGATGGGGAGTTGCTTTTTTTTTTTTCTCCCTTTCACAAAACCTGAGTCCTGACTAGGGCCAGGAGTTAGATTCCAGTTTCTAGATTTTCATCATTCCATGTTGCACAAGGCAGACATCTAGGGGACAGAAGGGCAGATTATTAGCATGTAAAGGAAAGATGATTTAGCTAGAGAAGATGTAGGAGAAAAGGAATCAGGATGAGGGGATTAGGAATGGGAGAGGAGGAGCTGGGGGACAGGGAGTTGGGGGCGGGGCTGGGACAAACAAAAAGGAGGTGTGGAGGGTGCCAGGGAAATAAAGTCCAAGAGGATAGCGGGGACCAGAGTCACAGCCTTAGTGGGGCCTCAGGAGAGCAGCAAGCTATGTCTACCTTGGAAAGGTGGAGAGAGGATGGCAGTGAGCTGGGCAGGGAGGAAGGGGAAGGGGGCAGGGCAGAGGAAGCAGGGGACAGACCGGAGGAAGAGATGGTGCCCTGGACCAGGTGGGGCAGAGGGGCCCTCTGGTCTCCAGGAGGTGTCATGCTGTCCTTCAGCTCATCCGTAGCTTTGGATAGGAGGCCTTTGAAGGCCGCAGGGTTGCCAGATGCCGTCTTGACTAGAATCATGTTCACTGACCCCGGCAGCAACTTGGACACCTCCATCCTCTGCTGAATGCCACTGGGCTGGGTGTGCTGGGCACATGGAAGCATTGGCCTCTTGCCTGCCTCCCACCCACAGCTGTTGCAGTCTACACATGGCCAACATGTCACAGGTTTTTAATATTTTTGAACCTCAGGGCCTTAATGCAGTAAAATGCAGGAAGTGCGGCTTGACTGCCCCACCTACTCGATTTTTGTCTTCAGCCATCCAACTATGTCGGGGCAATCATTTTGCTTGTTTTCTTCGGTGGACACACACATAATACTTTTAAAAGCATTGAAAGGCATCTCCTGGCGGCCCTGCGGCAGCCCCAGCTTCTTGACAGCGAGGCGACATCACAGCTTTGGGCTGCCCAGCTTGGAGGACGCTGGCTTCCTGTGATGATTGTCACTGAGCCAGGGACCCACTGCTGCTGGTGCTCTGGCTGGAGGGAGAGGCCATGGAGTCATGCTGGGGGACTTCACTGGAAATGGCTGGCTTCCTCTGCAGGCCGGCAGGTGCACTGGCAGGAATGGTGGTCTTCTGTCCTGACTTCTGGCCCTCCTCGGGCAGCTGAATTTTAAAAGTCTCAAAAGCTGGCTCGCTCTGAGCCCTCTTCAGTTTCTCCCAGAAGGTGGAAACTTTGGGGGCTGGGGAAGAAAAGGTGGGAACCCCAGAGGAAGGGAGGGTGCTCTGATGGTGGAGCGCTTCCTCTTCTGTTTTTTTGTGCACTCTAAAATGAGGCAGGTGGCCATGCGATAGTTGAATGTTTTTTCTTTGACATGGAGATGCTCTTGGCCTGGAATCCCATGGCCACCATGAGCTGCGTTGTTGGGGTTCGGGTAGTTCAGGAGTCATTCTTGGTATGAAGTCAGTAGCATCTTCTGGCCACTGTCCACCCACGGGTCCCTCATTGGTTGTTCCAGTGGGGGTCACACCCTGGGGTCTAGTGTTAGTAACTTTTTAATAAATCTATTTGAAATGAAAAGAAAAATGGAGGCAATGTGTACTTTCCTGTTTATTTTGTTCTTGATGTGCATAGAGTAGAAGGGCAGAGCCCCGGCTACCATGTGGTGTAGCATTACTCTAAGCATACCTCCACGGCGGGCACTGACACCCCTGGCCCAGGAAGAGTTCTGGGGCCACGTAGGGGGTACGTGCCACAAAAGGCTGGCACACTTCGTAAGTGTGGTGCTGAAGCCAAAGTCCAGGTATTTGATGTTGCCATCCTCATCCAGTAGGATGTTTTGTGGCTTTAGGTCTCCATGTGAGATGTTCTTTAAGTGGCAGTCCTGCAGTGTTGACGGAATCTGCCTGAACCGGGTGTGGGCCTCCTCCTCCTCCTCGATGTGGCTGTGGTGGCATATCTGGTGGTGCAGCTGTCCTCGTCCGACGCACTCCATCTCCAAATAGTCGGTGTCTATGGTGTCAGTCACCTGATGGAGCTGAATGTTCAGACGCTTGAGGGTCTCCGTGATACTGACCTCTCTGGAGAGTGATGCGGGGGAGCCAGCCTTCTTCGGGATGATTTCCATGGCTACCTGGGTCCCTGTCAGCATATGCTGGACCAGTGTGCCCTCACCGAACGTGCCCTGGCCGATGGTCTTGAGGATCCTACACTTTTGGATCTCTTCATCAAGTGCGTTGGAGGCTGATCCCTCCTCCGTGGTGCCTCCTAACTACCCTGACTACAAATCCTACCTCTGAACTATGCTAACTGAGGCACAACGCCAACTCCAATAACTAGGCTAGAGTCGCACAGGCTGCCTGGGGAGGGTGGAGACCGAGAGCCCTCTCCAGAGCCTGGTCTCCTTTGCCATGTTCCCTCTATCATTTTCCCTTGCACAGGAGAGGGGAGGGGTGTGCCCAGAAACTAAGAGCCACTCCCCTCCTTATCCTTTCATGACTCTTCTGGGGTCACACCCTCACCCTTGCCCACCCTGGAGCCCCCGTTTTGCTTTGAGGGGACCCGGGCCAGTGACTGTCGAATCACACCTGAGGCCCTGGGTGCATCAGTGGCCATGTGGGGGCAGCTAGGAGGTGTCCCCAGAGAGGCCCTGTGGTCATCCCCTGCTCTGCGGCTGTGTGCAGACCCCGGAGGCACAATCAGACTTCAGGGGCACAGCCAGAGGACACTTCCCCTCCACCGTCCCCTTTAGACTCTGCAGAATCCCTGGAGGATATCCAAGTGCACACAGTTTGTGCTCCCCAGCTACCCCGTGAGGGCACGCCCTGGATTAGTGTGAACAAATGGAAGCTGCTCCCGTGGGCAGGTCGAGTGCCTCTGGCACTCCGTTGGCTGCTGCCCACAAAGCTCCCGGCCATGGCCTCCCGGGGGGCTGCACTATCACTCTGGCTGCCTCCAAATGGAGAGAGGACTGCAGTGACCTGGGCGGGGTTAGGGGAGAAGGAGGTGGCAGGGCAGAGGAAGCAGGAGCACACAGGAGGAAGAGACAGTGCCCTGGGCCATATCTTCTCTCCTACCCTAACATGAGCCAAATTAGAACCATCTGGATGAAGAAAAGACAGAGAAGAGCAGGGCAGGGGAGAAGTGCCCCAGGAAACACTGTCCAGGCTTTTACATTCCACTAGGTGGGATGGAGGCGCCCTCTGATGTCCAGGAGGCTCCAGGCGGTCCATCTCACCCCTTCCTTTGGATAAGAATGCTTTCAAGGCCACACGGCTACCAGAAGCTTACTTGATTTGAATCCCATGCAGAGACCCCTCTGCCACTTTACACACTTCTGTCCTCCACTGGACAAGGCCTCCAGGCTGGGGGTGTCAGACACACAGCAGCGAGGGTGTCTTGCCCAGTTCTCCCATGCGGCCGTTGGAGCCCACACGTGGCTGACCTGTCATGTTTGTAGTGTTCTTGGACCTCAGGGCCTTCGTCCTCTCCATTCTAAGTACAGAAAGACATTTGACTGACATGGACTCCCTCAGGTGTTTTGCAATACGCAATACATTCTCATTGACTCTGGTCACCCTGCTGTGCACTGGATGTGAAAACCTCTTCTTCCTGTCCATCTCAGACTTTGGTCCTTTGAGCAACAACTCTCCATTCTCTCCCTCTTTCCCACCCCCACACCTGATACCCAGCCCCTGGTCACCATTGATCTACTCGCTACTTCTACGGGGTCAACATTTTTCGATCAAGACTTCCGTAACTTCATGTGGAATTTGCCTTTCTGAGGTGATGGAGATGCTAAGATTTGATCATTCCATGGTGCACACATCTATCTAATCCTCACATTATATCCCATAAATGAATACAAGCATAATTTTCCAATTAAAAATAATAATTAAAAAATAATAAACGGCTAGGTGCCATTGCTCACGCCTGTAATCCCAGCACTTTGGGAGGCCGAGGCGGGCGGATCACCAGGTCAGGAGATTGAGACCATCCTGGCTAATATGATGAAACCTCGTCTCTACTGAAAATACAAAAAATTAGCCGGGCGTGGTGGCAGGTGCCTGTAGTCCCAGCTACTTGGGAGGCTGAGGCAGGAGAATGGCGTGAACCCGGGAGGCAGAGCTTGCAGTGAGCAGAGATTGCGCCACTGCACTCCAGCCTAGGCGAGAGAGTGAGACTCCATCTCAAAATAATAATGATAATAATAATGAACATATGACTCAGAGACATTTTCTAAAAACAAAAAAAGAAACCAACAAAAGCATAATAAATAAAATAAAGTGCAGAAAAGGCAGCTTGCCCCCCACCCTCCGCTTGGTTTGTGTCTGGGCCGCAGCTGTCCCCTGGGTTTACTGGAGCCACTGTATTTCTCCATGCACAGTGGGTCTTTGGGGCCAGGAGGAAGCAAAATGTTTTTGAAGACAAATCTAGTGGCTCCCTGGCAGCCCTGGCTCTCTTCACAGGGAGAGGCTGAGGTCACACCATCTGATGCCCAGTGGAGAGGGTGCTGGCTTCCCGGGCTGTTCCCTGGGGACAGGTGACTCCTCCTGGGTCTCCCACATGGACAGAACTGACGTCCTGGGATGTTCCCTGGGGGCAGTTGACTCCTGGGCCGCTCCCACTGCTGCTGGTGCTCTGGATGGAGGGGGAGGCCACAGGGCCACACTCGGAGATGTGCTGGTATTGGGTCACATCACCTCCAGGCCCAGAAGGGGACAAGCAGGCAAGGTGGCTTCTCTGGGCATCTTCTGCCCTGGCCCTGGTCCTCCTTGGGTTGCTGGATTTCTGAAGTAAGGGTGGGAAAGGCCACAGTCAAGACCTTTTTCACCAAACATTCCAGCCCTTGACTCCCCTTTGGTTGGACAGAAAAGTTGGACTTAACTTTGGGGGATGGGGAAGGTCAGTGGGATCCCCAGGATTAGGTAGGTGGCCATGGAATAATTATATATATATTTTTTCCTACTGGGGATTCCTTGATGTGCCTAGAATGTCACGGCTACCAAGAGTCAGGTTGTTAGGGGGCCCAGGTGACTGGGGAGCAGCTCTATGTGTGGCCCAAGGGTTCCCTGGCCAGCATTGACCCAGGGGTCCCGCATCAGCTGGTCCTCTGTGGGTCATTCTCTGGGGTCAAGGATCAGAAATTTCTTGATAAATATTTCAATTCGGAAGGAATATAGACAGTACATATTTTCCTTGAGTATGTTTTTTTGAGGCTGAGAAGTTCTGCCTGCCAAATGGCAGGGCCCTGGCCCCATGTGGTAGACGGGAGAGCCAAGACCCACACGACCACTGCAGGGCTGTGATACTCGTGGCCCAGGAAGAGTTCTGGGGCAGCTTAAGGGGAGTCCCACCAAAGGCGCTCAGCTTCTGGCCTTGGGAATATGTGGTGCTGAAGCCAAAGTCAGCTCTTTTCATGTTGTGCTCTTCATGCAGGAGTCCTGCCACCCAGGTCCTGGCGGCTGACTTTGGTGGCAGTACTACAGGGCAGATAGTATTTGCAGAAACATGGCTTGAGCCTCCTCCTTCTCCATGTGGCCAGGCTGGAGTGTTTGGTGGAAAAGGTCTTCACTATGAGTATCACCATAGCTCAGTATGGGATGTCTGAGGTTTCAATGACATGATATGGCTTTATTATGATGGGACACTCAGGGCCTTCATGACGTCTACCTTTCTGTGTAGACTCAGAAGGCTGGGGGAGCCCCTAGTTATAGATTTTATTTTTACAGCCACCTGAGTCCCAGTGAGTTCGTGCTGGGTCAACTTCACCTCACCCAGGCTTCCCTGGGCCAATGGTCTTGAGGACTGTGGCATTTTTTTTTTTTTTTTTTGAGACGGAGTCTCGCTGTCGCCCAGGCTGGAGTGCAGTGGCTCGATCTCGGCTCACTGTAGGCTCTGCCCCCGGGGGTTCACGCCATTCTCCTGCCTCAGCCTCCCGCGCAGCTGGGACTACAGGCGCCTGCCACCTCGTCCAGCTAATTTTTTGTATTTTTAGTAGAGACGGGGTTTCACCATGTTAGCCAGGATGGTCTCGATCTCCTGACCTCGTGATCCGCCCGCCTCGGCCTCCCAAAGTGCTGGGATTACAGGCATGAGCCACCGCGCCCGGCCGAACTGTGGCATTTTTAAGGGCCTCCTCAATGGTGGAAGCCAGACCTGGAGAAGGTGCCTTCTCACAGGGCCGGCACTTCCAGAGGGGAGTGGCACCGGGGCGGGGGCACAGACTCTGAGGGGCCCTTGGGGAGCTCAAGCAAGGCCCACAAGATCCCCCTCTCAGGTTGCAAATTGGCATTAAGTTGGGGAGATTCAGTATTCATACCTGGGAGACACTTGCCTTCAAAGTGAAAGGAAATCCTGGGGAGGTTTTGGTGCTCCGGAAGGCAGGCAGACAGTGGGGCTGCAGCCAGGCCCTCTCCTCTGCATGAGGCTTTATGGGGCCTCAGCGTCTCCCACAATGATGGGGTCCCCCTGAGCTCCTCTTTTCAGTGTTCCCACATGAGCCTGAGTGTGGGGGACTTTCTGAGCCATTGCCCTCTGACTTCCCCTCTGTGGGCTGGGGAGGAGCTGTGAGGAGCTTCAAGGTGTGGGGTCGGGGCCCTTGGGCAGCCATCTTGGGGCACCCGAGCCCCAGCCCTCGGGAGCCCAGGTGCAGGCTCTGCCTCCACCTCTGAACGGCTGAATGGCGTGTTCAGCTGCTGTGGGTGGCAAGCAGGGAGGGCCGTGACAAGGTCTCCATTCCAGGCTGATGTTCCAGATCTGCAGGGGTGAGTATCAGGGAGGCCCGGGGTAATCACCCTGCCCAGTGGTGGCCTCTGCCATGGGCACACAGACTCCAGGCCAGGGAAGAGACACAGCAGCAACCTTGGAGGAGGGGCCTCTGCCCACCTGTGTGACAGCCACCAGGGGCTCCTGGCTTCACAGCCTTGCTGGGGAGAGATGGGAAACTGAGGCCTGGGGACCCTCAGCTGCCTGAGGTGCAGCTAGACTCAGATCCACCTGAGGCTGCCCAGTCCACCTCTTCCTTACTTCCTCCTTCCAAGAATATGGGCACAGTGGTGAGAACTTGGAGATAAGAGATCGGGACCAGTCCCAGCTGGAACCACTGCCCCACTGCTCAGCCTCTGGCAGCCACTCCTCTCTGGCCTGAGTGTCCTCTTAGTTCAATGGGCATCTCTAGGTCCCTGTGGTACCTTCCTTGTCACAGGCACATGAGGGGTCAACAGGATCATCACCCAGCACTGTTCACAGACACAGACTGAGGCTGGATCCTCGGAATCAGAGCTGGAGGGGGCCCTTTTGTGCAGATGGGGAAACTGAGCCTTGGACTGACTGTTGCGGGAATCAGGAGACTGGAGAGACCAATGGGTGAAACAGGAGGATTTTATTTAGGTGGCCACCGGCCTAGTGGGTTAATATTCAGAGGCTGATAAATGAACAAAGGCCAGGCTTAACTTTTATTCAGGCAACTGAAGGGGAGTGGCTAGCCAGTGGCACAAAACTTGCAGGGTGGGGAAAGCAAGCTTACAGAAGCAGAACAAAGGCAGTTAACTGTGACAGGTTTTGCAATTCAGGCATGTCTTGTGACCTTTGCCATCCTGCACAGATGGGAAAACAGGAACTTATAAAATCCTTGCAAACTTGCAGAAATAGTTACAAAAATAGTTACAAGCGCAGAACAAAGAATAATGGCATTGGGAGAGAATTCCAGGGGGAGACGGATAAGAACTTGTTTTTCTCATCCCTATTCTTGGAATCCATTTCTTTGGGGCCCCTGCCTGGCCTTGCAGATAATGTTATCATAGCTCCAACTGGACTTGTTTTCCCTTTACTTGTTTTTCTTATATTTCCTGCTTAATTCTCCCCTTTGATGCTGTTTATAAATAAAGTTTAATAGAAAGCATTATCATCAGAATTTAATTCTCCATGAGGAGTTAGTCCTTTATTTGGCAAAGGTTGATATTTGATTAATGCCATTAGTTGGGTGGTGGTTTACCTGGTTACAAGAACCTCTATGGCTGATTGGATGTTTTTAACAAGGAGAGGTAGGAGACAAGGGAGTGTGAGACAGACTCCCAGTATGACCAGAACTATTCCTACTAAGGTCTTAAATCTTCCAAGGGACGAAAACCAGCCCCCAAAGAGGGTATCTGGAGACCATCCTTTCCAAATTTGGACTGGGACATGGGCTAATTTTTGAATTTTTGCAGTTATATCTTCAATGACCTTCCTATTGTCATCAATTTCTAGGCAACAATTAGTTTAAAGTTTCCGCATACCCCTCCTTCTAACATGGATAGAGGGAGTAGCAAGAACAAAGTAAGGAATAGTATGTTCATACCCAGCATGGACAACAGAGGTCCTTATCCAGGGGAGGAGGTTGAGCACAGTGACAGGTTAATAGTAAAACAATTAAGATTACAAGGAAAATTACTGGGCTTAAGATTTCTAACTACATTTACTTCCTAGATGAAACTTCGGCTGTGCATAGACTAGTCAGCTTCTGGGGTGACTAACAGGACTGCTGTCTCCTCAAGCTTCAGCTGTGCATAGACTGGTCGGCTTCTGGAGTCACCAGAGCAGGGCTGTTGTCACTTTCACTGGCACCTCGGTCCTGTCATAGGATCAGCTGGTTTGGATGGTCTGAGTCTTGCTGGCTGGTCCACTTGTCCTGGGCTGCCAGTTTCAGCCAACTGTGGTGGATCTAAGGCACGATTCCTGCAACTTTAACAGCAGTGGTAGTGGACAAGATTACAGTATGGGGCCCATCCCATATGGGTCCTAAAGTGGTTGGATTCTATTTCTTGACCTAAACAGAATCCCTGGGTCTAAAGGGGTGTGTTTGGTCTGTTAGTCCTATGGGCATTCTTTCCAGTACCCAGCCATGGATCTCTTGCATGGCTCTCCCTAAGGCCTGCATCTGCCTTCTCAAGGTTAGCTCCCTTAACTCACGGAATTACCTTAATTTTGACCTTTAATTTGACCTATGGTTGGGGGTGGCTGGCCGAACAAGATTTCAGAGGGTGAATACCTAGTTTGTTTGGTGGGGGTACACCTGACTTGGAGGAGGACCATGGGCAGGACCTGATCCTATCTTAGATGAGTTTTTTGGCAATATTTCTTTAGTAGCTGCTTGAGTGTCCGATTCATGTGCTCCACTTTTCCTGAGCTTTGTGGCTGGTTGACTGTGTGTAATTTCCATTTCTGGAATCCCTGGGGGCCTGGTTTGCAACATGTCATGCACTGGTCTATATTCATTAGTCCTTGGTTTCCACACTGGCAAAAGTGTTCTACAGTGACTGGCATTGGGCCAAGGTCCTGTGTTCTAATAGCTGCTTCAAATGCCCTTGAATGCCCTGTACAGCTTCTTGGGGAAGTACTGATGAACCTGAACCAGTGTTGCCCCCGATTTTAGTTCCACTATCACTGGTGCCTGGTTCACAGCCAGGCCGGGGCGGGTGGTATCTTCGGCCTACACTCCAGGAATTTTACTAGGTAACTTATACAGCTCATCTAGCCCTGGCTTTGGCAACCCATCTGTGTACAGTCTCCATTCCTCTGCCTGCGGGATGGTAAGGGTTAACACCATTTCTTCAGGATGGAGCAGGCTTAAAGTCATGGGCTGTATCACTGCCAAGTGTTCAGCCCCAGTGTTTACTATAAAGTCCATCAGGTGGCCCCCTTCTTCCACCATGACATGGGCTCCTGGGGGCCTAAGAAGATGGAGCCCAGTCTGGCCTAGTCCTCATACCTTTCAGTCCCTGCCAGCCCAATAAAGTCGGTGTTTGGCTGTTTCTGGGTGTGATAGCCTTTAGCTGGCAGCCTTCTAGCTCCTTGGCTTCCTCCTCTCCCTTATTGCCTTCTGGACATTCATTCTTCCAGTGTCCTTTCCTCTTGCA